>NC_000006.12:9908484-10060000 GCF_000001405.40 Homo sapiens
GACACAAAAATTACATACTTAATTCTAGCTCACCTTCTCTGCTGACCTCCGTCGCACACTGCCTTGGGTTTATTTCCTCATCCATCAGTGGGTCAAAGTAATTTCTGCCGTATTCATTTCCTGTGGAAAGTACATGAGGTAAGGGTCAGTGATTATTAGAAGCACATGAACCAAAATGTTAATTTTGAAATCGACACCAGCAAAGAAGGATCATTTTAGCTCTTTTATAAGCTTAATTTTTTTACAAGTCTTCCAGGCCTCCCTTTTTTGTAATTATCATCTTGCAAAAGGTCAGAAAAGGTAATTCAAGAAACAAGTTCATGCTATCTTTCTGTTGCTAAAAAGTTAATGAGAAAATTATCAAATGTAGACTTTAGAATAATAATAAAAAACTTAAGCCAAACTATTTTTAGGATATACTCATGACATGGAAATAGTTGGATTATAATGATGTGTAGAACTCACGGATGATTATATTTACTTACTTATATTTTACTAAGTGTATCATGTTGTTGCGTCCAGAATTCCACAGGCAATTTTACTATCTTAATTATGAAAAACTACAGCAGAATGTACATGTTGCTAGTTGGGTGAAAAGAAAGAAAGAGAGAAAGAAAGGGAGAGAGGGAGGGAGAAAAGTAGGAAGGAAGGAAAAGAAAAAAGACAGGCTTGCTTATAGATCTTTCTTATGTCAACTTCAGTGACATGAAGGGAAGATACAAATGACTTAGCCAGAAATTTATCCCACACACATCAACAATCTCAACACCAGTAACCAAAATTTCTCACATCACGTCTCCCACTTACTCTGTCCTTATCTTCATGACCAAACTGTAGCATGAGGTATAACTTTGTAATAGAGGAAAAGGTCTGCTATTAATTTTCCAAATCTAGTTTCATACTTCCTGCAGACTGAAATGTATATGTCTGTGGCTAGTAATTTGCATTCAGCAAAATGAACCCTACTCTGACGATAATTCAAGTTGCCTCAAACATTGCAAAAGAAATAAAGCCTTGTAGAATGAAAACAACTTTGAAAGTATTGTTTGCAGGGAAGGGTTAATACATATCAGGTATACTGTGATATTCTTTAGTATATTTGTTTTAGGATCAAAAGTAATCCAAACAGCAGCTCCTTTTCCAAGGCTAAATGAAATTTTGATGTGAACCTAGGTTTAATTTCTGTTTCTGGGCTGACACATTTTTGTGGCAGTCTCTGTTCTATCAATGCAGTAAGTACAAAAACTGAAAATCTGCTTTACCTTGAGGTCTCAATAAGCAAAAAATAAATGAGTTTCATTTTTGTTACTTTATTTGTCAACAACTACTAGGCTGATATGAATCTTGGCGGTATGTAATCAAAGTCTTATGTACTGCAATAACACCATTCTTCCTCGTTCACTGTAATTGTTTTTTCTTTTTCTCTACCACAAAGCACTGTGATACTCTAACTATGCCCTTCCATATGCTGGTAAAATAATTCACCTATATTAGCACAAGCATGGTAGCATAGTCCTTATATTGTCAATCAACTACTGGTACCCATAGTCTGGAAGCTTCTCCAATCCAATACAAAACTCAAATTATTTGTCTTCTATAACTGACTAGTAAATGTTAGCAAGATAATCAAAACCTTGGAGGGTGAAAAAAGTTAAGTCATATTTAACCAAAAGTCTATAGTAGTGTATTTAGTTTTTAGATTCTCAAACCATTTGCTTCCCTGTTGTCAGTGGAGAAGTTGGGGTCTTGTCCAGCTGCACATGAATCAGGTCTGTACCCTGGGAGCCTTCCAGACCACCATTTCCCTTCAGAGTTTGATGCCTCCACACACAACTGGAAGCAGGGCCCTTTAAGGTCTATACAGATTGTTCCTTCTGCGTTTCATGTGGGTTGATGTACACGTATCAAGTTACAAATACCACTCCTGGAGGGATTCATTTTGCGTTTCCCATTCTGGGATCCCATGTACAGCATTTTACAAGGAAAGAATTCTGAGGTCACTTGAGCAAAGAGACAGCTTTGACACTCTTAGTTCTGAAGTCCTTTAAACATTCCCAAGTTCTATACTGTAATACAACTCTATAATTTATGTTTTTTTACAATTTAAATGCATTTTATATTAATTTTACATTCTGTTAAGCATCGTTTTACAAATACAGTTTATACTCAACTATTGTCTGTCTTCCCCACTAAAATATAACCTCTGTGAATGCAAAGACATTCTCTCTTAGCTCACTGCAGCACCCACAGTGCCTAGAATATTACCTGGCTTATAGTATGATCTGAATTCCTTAGTTAAATAAACTTCTCTTGGAAACCTATTGTAATACCCTAATCCTTTCATTGGCTAGATGTTCTTTCTTGATTAATTAACCTTTCATCACCTTTTATTCCTATTTTTTCTCTATTCCCCCATCCCATCTCTCCTCCCCATCATCACCACCTACCCCCACACTTTTATTTTTAATTGAGTGCCTTCTAGGAACTGAGCACTGTCTGAATTTAAAAAACCAACACAACAACAACAACAAGAAAACTATGACCCCTGCCTTCAGAGCAGGGGAGAGGAAAGAAGCTAAACATATACAATCCGGTATGATTTAAAGAATGGAATTCTGGTTGAGAATATTAGAGAAGCATCTACCCCATATTGGGGGTGTCAAAGAAGATTTCTTGGAGGAATGGCTACTGGAAATAAGTTTTTGGAAAGGTGATTAGGAATTAGCCAGTCAGAAATACAGGGGAAAGAAATTTTTGACATCTAGGCAAAGGAGAAAAGACTCAAGGGCATAAAGTCATGGGAAGCACAATTTGTTGGTAGATGTTCCTCAACTTTTCTTGGCCTCCTAAAGCTACAATTTAATAAAGCGAATAAGGGAACCCAAACTTCTTCACTAGCCCCTAAATCAATGTTAACTAATGCTTTTGCTGAAATTCTTAGTGCACTGTTGAAAAGTGTCACCTTCCGATGTTGCATATTCATTCATTCACTCAACCAATACTTACTGAGTGCTTATTATGGGACTATAGCAGTAAAATGAAATACCCAAAAATCCCTCTCCTCACAGAGCTTACATTCTGTGAGTGGAAGAATAAGCACAATAAATATGTATATTTTATAGTTTATTAGATAGTGAAAAGTGATGAGAAAAAATAGTGCCAGGTAAGGATGGTCAGACCCCCAGGAAGGGGTGGGGGCTGCATCTCTTGCCTCTACCTTTGTTTCAAACAAGGATGCCACTTAGGATTAAGACACTATGCTTTCAAGACAATTGAGAAAGTAAAGCTATAATGTATTTATTATTATTTTCATAAGCTATTCTTCTAATTGCTTGCATAACATAAATCAGCCTATGAATCAAATAAAAACACTCTCAAATATTAAAATGATTGTTTCTTTCTATTGCTAGTCCTTGAATTAATAAACCAATAATTTAAACACAGCAGGTAGAATTTAGAAGAGTAAGCATATGGAACCTGTTATAAATTTAGAAACAATGGACTCCATCATAACAGTAGCTCCTTTTGCTGCCTTTCATTGGGTGGGATCAGGATGTAATAAAGTAGGATAGTCTTAAGGATATGGTGTATATTACCAGAAGGTAGATTGCTAATAGAATCAATTCCTAAAATGTCCTAATCATTCAGAGTATGCTTTTGGATATATCTAAAATCATCTCACAGGAAAATTAACAGACCCACTGAGAAATTCAAAGTAGGGCATTTAGCAATACAAATACGATAGATTTTAATATGGCTGATATTTAACTCCTTGTAATATTCAGATGAATATATGCCAATCCCATGTGTGTGTGTATACACATATGTATGTTGAAGTATGGTTCTACATTGAAGCAATCAGATGTGATATATAAACCAATCAATCAGTAAATTGGTCTTGTCAATACTCTTGATACTCCATTTTTTGCTTCCAACTTCCCAGTATTAGCTGTTTAATGTCTAGAATCGCATTAGTTAATTCATTTCTCGTGCTATCTTTTATTGAACTAGGAGAGGAAAACACACGCACTTGCCTTCTGCCCTTCCACATGTATCAGGTTTTCCTATCATTTAACTCAGAGCAGCACAGAACATAATCAGGGCTTTTACTTAAATTACACTGTACATGAACTTTGGTCAGGAAATCCTCTAGTGTGCACCCATGCAGTTCCTTGGGGGCTGTAAGAGTGAGAATGAAATTGCCCACCAGAGGAAGGTTAGTAACAATCATCGAAGTGCCTTGACTCAATGAAGCAATCACTTCCTTTCAAATCAGCTACATTAGCTAGAGAGGAAGAAAAACCTAATGCATTTGTGTGTTTCTCAGGAGTTTTTTTTTTTTTTTGGTCCCATTCTTGTTCTTTTCCTGTAAATCCACCTGCTTCAGCTCAGCTTTTCCTCACCGATAACTGTGTTTTCTGTAATATACTATAAACTAAATAACTAAACAATTTGTATTTTATGATTACAACCATGCACCAAAATTTTACCACAGAGGACATTCTCCTGAATAGTATTCTTTTTAAAGCCGTGAAGCCTGGAAGAATAAAATTAAGTTTGATTCCTATGAACTTTATAAATAATTTTGGGAAAACGTCATATTTTTCCCACTTTGAAAATCCAATACAAGTATCTCTAGCTTAAAGGTCCATAGGGCCAGAAAGTCTACATAAATATAAAAACATAAGTAGAAATCAGGGGACTACACTAGAATATAGAAGAATAGGGACAATGTCAAATCTAAACACACTGCACCATACTAAATTCCAAATACTATTTTTATAAAGTTGATTTACAAATATTTTGTAAATAAAAGGCAACTAAAAATACAAGAATATTTCTTAATGATAAAAAATAGTTATCCTAAACTAAGTCCTCATTGTACTAAATATCAAAACAAAGCAATGACAACAAAAAACAACCAAAAAAATAGCTTTTTGTTTTGTTTTGTTTTAAGTTCCCGGATACATGTCCAGAACATGCAGGTTTGTTACATAGATATGTGAGTGTCATTTGGTTTCCTGCACTTATCAATCACCTAGGTTTTAAGCCCCGCATGCATTAGCTATTTTTCCTGATGTTCTCCCTCCCCTCACCCCGCCCTCGACGGGCCCTGGTGTGTGATGTTCCCCTCCCTCTGTCCATATGTTCTCATTGTTAAACTCCCACTTATGAGTGAGAACATGCAGTGTTTGGTTATCTGTTTCTGCGTTAGTTTGCTGAAAATGATGGCTTCCAGTTTCATCCTTGTCCCTGCAAAGGACATGATCTCATTCCTTTTTGTGGCTGCACAGCATTCCATGATGTACATGTACATTTTCTTTATCCAGTCTCAAAAAAATTAGTACAATGAAGACTTAGTTTAAGATAACTAACTCTTAAATATCAAAATAACAACCAAAAAACAACCAAAAAAAACAGTTATCTTAAACTGTCTTCACTGTACTAAATATCAAACACAACAACACAAAACAACCAAACAAATAAAAAACCAGTCACAAAAATGCAAACTGTGACTTGGATATCCATCATGAATCTGATTATCTAACATTCTCCTAGAAATCTTGGCCAAAGCATAACTGGGTAAAAATAAGGAAAATATGTGCCAAAGTTATTGAAAAAATTGTATGTTGCATACACATTATTTGACGGCAATATGATTTCATGCCATGAAAACAAGAGATTTGACTTAAAATCTTTCGGAACAGAGGAGATGTCATTCAAATAAGAATAACATCTTGGTAAACAGCCATATAATCATAAAGAATCATTAACTTTTCTAAATACCAACCATAGCCACTTTGAAGATATAATGATAACAAATCAAAACCTTTTATAAAGCTCCAGATAACACTCAATAATTAATTAATTAATATTAGACTTTCATAGGCATCTATAGGTGGTCATCAAGATTATTAATCTTACTCAGAATCCCAAACTGAAAGGCATACAAGTAACAACATAATTAAAAACAGAAAGTCAGAGATAGAAGAAAAATTTATACCATTTTTCTTTTTTTAATTTTTCTTTCTTTTTAATTTTTGAGACAGAGTCGCATTCTGTCACCCAGGTTTGAATGCAGTGCCACCATCATAGCTCACTGCAGCCTTGAGCCTCAAACTCCTGGGCTTAAGCAATCCCCTCGCCTCAGCCACCTAAGTAGCTGGGACCACAGTCATGCACCAACATGCCCAGCTAACTTTTTTATTCTTTGTAGAGGGAGAAATCTTGCCATGTTGCCCAGGCTTGTCTCAAACTCCTGGACTCAAGTGATCCTCTCACCTCAGCCTCCCAAGGTGCTGGGATTACAGACATGCGCCACTGTGTCTGGCCGTCTTCTTCTTCTTTATAGAAAGGCTAATATGTGAAAATTGGTCAGCTGCTAACAGAATATTCAAGAACTGGTACCATGTTGGACAAATTAGCTTTCTCAACTGCTTGTTCTTCCTTCCTTCCCAAATCTTGTGGGTATTTGATATATCGGTAATTTGAAAATCTAAATTGGATAACAGTTGAAGTTTGCTAACAAGTTCTAATTAATTGAGCCATATTCTTTCTTCCCTTAAGGCCCTCCCTCACAGTAAATTATGAGGCACTTTGACTTGCAAACCACTGGAGTGCTGTGGAGTGGCTAACCGCTGCCAGGCTTTATCCCACAGTACCCCAAGGCATTCATGCATCGTGTGCTCACTGGACCTAGAATCCTCAAGGAGCTGAAGCGTGTCCCTAACTTCTAAACAGGAAGATGCTTCCAGTACATAAGTAATTGCGGTAATTCAAAGGTTAAGTATAAGTACATTGTTTTTTCTCATATTTAAAAGTTCCCCAAAAGTCAAATCAAAGTGGGGTTTCTTTCCTGCTAGTTTGAAGCTTGACAACATTACCTTACATGTAAATAAGTTAATGTGTAGAGTTTGGAAAGTTGCCTTTCAAATTATGAAGTACCTGATCTTAGACATCAATCACCCCTCCAATCTTTCCAATTTTGCCTTCATTCATTTAACAATTCATGTCCTTCATGGATCTAAGATTACTTGTATGTATGTATTGTATTTAAGGGCTCATTCCGGTAATAGTGTCTTTCATCACACTGAAACATACTTCAATATGAAACAATCAATATAATGGATTATTGGGTTTAGTTTAAACAAAATAATCTTTTTTCTAAAAAATCTTGTAACTTATAGACAAAATCTATCTCGTGAAGCAAAGGATTCAGGACTTCCCATTTTTTTTCTTTTTATATTGGGTTTTTGGTCAATTATTCTGATAAAAGCTAAGGAAAGCTCATTTTCTTGTTAATTTTTTTTAACTTAATTTTTTAAAGCAACTTGCTGAAGGTCCAAGAAAGCTTATTTCCTATTAAATTGTTTTTGACAGCAAACACAAGTGTCCAAAAGAAATTCTAAATGAAATTATTTGGAGATTAAAGACTAATCTAAATTATGCTAAAAGCATAAAATACTAAGCATAGAAAACATATGCCGAAAGCATAAAACACTAAGATCATGATAAATTTTTCTAGTAAAATTTTTCTTATACTAAAATTGCAACTATTCACTTTGGGAGGCTGAGGAGGGTGTATTACCTGATGTCAGGAGTTCAAGACCAGCCTGGCCAACATGGCGAAACTCCATCTCTACTAAAAATACAAAAATCAGCCAGGCATCATGGTGCATGCCTGTAGTCCCAGGTACCCGGGAGGCTGAGGCGAGAGAATGGCTTGAACCTGGGAGGTGGAGGCTGCAGTCAGCCGAGTTAGTGCCACTGCACTCCAGCCTGGGCGACAGAGCAAGACGCAAAAAAATAAAAAAAAAGACTCAAAAAAATAAAATAAAAATAAAAGTGGAACTATTGAATTCCAGCTAAAATGGTGGCCAAATGAAGTTTGAAATTTACATGGAATTTAATTGATATAGTGAAACTTCATATTCTAGTAGCCAAAAAAAAAGTCCTTTTGAAATTTTTATGTAATATTTAAGCAGAGGTAGGTACAATTTGGTAATCTGACCAACTGCTTAGACACTGACTGCATCATTAATGGAAAACTGAAGTCTTTCCCAGTTTTTTTTTTTAACTACGTAGCGATGTTTATATTAAGAAAGTCATTGGACCCCTAAAAAATCACCTATATGATCTCCAGTTTTACCATTCTATGACTCTAAGATTCTTAAGCAACCTTTTTACTATCATATAGATTATTGTGCTCACATTTTTATTTTAAAGGCATATAAATTTCAATGACATATAAACCCACTGGTTTAAATATATGAATCTGTCTGTCATCAATGAACTGGAATAGTAATGTCTCTGGATGTTAAAATAATTCTTACAAAGATTATTTCTTCAATGACCTATGGCAGATTTTATAAAACATTGTTTGCAAAATCATACACTGGAGGTTTCATTAACGTGGATTTGAAGCAACAATATAAAAATAACTATGCTTAAGAGTTAAGTGTCACCACTGGCATCAATTTTAGCATTAACAGAAACAGAAAAGGACAACACAAACAGATATTCTGCTAATTTCCTGGGCAAATCTGTCTGATTACCTGGGGGTAGTCAGTTCCTCTGAGAAAAAAAAAAAAAAGTTTTTTCTTATTCTGCTGACATTTCCAAAACTCATATGTTTCATTAAAATGTTCCTTCTCCAACTGGATAAACATTGTCCTGGAACTCTGCTGTTCCATTTTTTTGTTTGTTTGTTTCTGGTTTTGTTTTTGTTGTTGTTTTAAAAAAAGAGGAAAGGAAACAAATTTATTTTTATAAACTGACCAAATATTTCATACATCTAATATCTATATAAAATATTTCTGTATTTCAGTAAAAAGGATGCTTTCCTGAGGATTTATTTTTAGCCTTCCAAATCAATGAAAGAGATTCAAATCACTTAGGACCCCAATGGTTTCTGAAGACACAAATCCAGGTCAGTTCAATAAACCTAAAGAAAATGATTTTCCTATATATTTTCTTTTTCTTAATAATTGTTTAAATGTCTCAAAGCAAAAAAAAATTTTGTAAATGGTCTATCAATTTTATTTAGCACTTGTTTTCCATCTTAAGGGAAAAACAGCTATAAATGAGAACAATGTAAACAGTTTTATACAATATCACTTCTAAAATAATCTAGGCTACGTGCACTACTGGGAAAAACAATTCTCATCACATATTTGCTCAGACAATTTGAATTATGCACTTAACACAAGTGCTTATGTTGTTTTTATTACAAATTTTTGTACATGTGTATTTCTAATGGCCATAGTGGTCTCAAGGTAAATTTAGGGTCACAGTTATTACCCTAATCCAGGATTTCTCTACCACTATGGATCCCTATCCTTTATTCTAACTACCTCTCATCTCTTCCAGAAAGATCTAAGTCCTGAGATCACATATGCTCAGAACTCATTCCTCTCCACATCTCTGGAATGTCTGCCATTTTCCTTCCCTACTCTCAGCCTTCAGCATTGCTGCCTGCTGTCAAGGATTTTATGCTGACCATGATGCTCTTCAAACCACGAGCGTCTCCACATCAATCATGAAACAACTGGTGGCACCTCCAGTCCACAAAGCCACATGGACGTCATCCTGTCAGTGCCAGAGCTGCTGCTGGGGTCACCTCCATTGACTACTGTGTCTCTAACACTGATTCTTGCTGGTGCCCATTGCAGGCCATGCCACATTCTCTCCAATATCTTCCTGGTTCTGATCAAACCTTGCACTCACACCTCCGTCCATCCGATGTTCCATCAGCAATGCTAAGTGAAGGGGTTCGGTATATGTCATCTTCCAGCTCCTACCCACCACATGCTGCTCCTCCATGTTACACACAGGCTCCCTACAACTGATGGAGATCTCAGTTTTTACTTCAAGCCCCTCCCACTAACTCCCAAGAATAAATGTCTGAGGATTAGACCACAGAACAATACAATTGGCAAACATTGTACTGTAATCAAAATTACCTTTCCTCTCTGGCCCTGAGATATTGGCATGAGATCAAGCTTGTGTGCCTGACTGTCTCTTTCCTTAGAATTAGTCTCTTCCCAGGAGGCATCTTAGTCTTTCTTAAAATGAAAATGCAACAAATCAACTAGTCGAATGGTGGCGAAAGACAGCTTAGTGAAGTTTGAATTTAATATGAAATTTCATTAATATAGTACAGCTTCTTATTATAATGGCCAAAAAAGTATTTTTTTAATTTCACCCAATATTTAAAGGGAACTAATTTTAAAAAAGAAAGCATTTTTGAGGTCCAACTGCTAAGATATTGACCAAATCATTGATGTATCAGAAAACCTAAATTTCTGTCTCAGTTTTTTCATTGCAAGGCTGTGTTCATTTCAGGCCACTTTAATCCACAAATCTTCAGATATGCTCAGTCCTAAACTGAACATGGCTTAACTTAACTAAACTGAAATCCCAATTATACTATTATGGTGTATCTACACACACACACACACACACACACACACACACACACTATTTTGGCCATATATCTACAAATATTCATTGAATAAAAGAAACGCTATTTATAAAACATATAAAATAGATGTAAAAATTGTATATGAGCACATAATATATGTGTTTGAGAGTGCCAGATGAATCTGAATTGATCAACTGTAATTTTTTTTTGGTAGGGGGATGGAGTGTCTCTCTATCACTCAGGCTGGAGTACAGTCGTGCAATCTCAACTCACTGCAACCTCTGCCTCCCAGGTTCAAGCAATTCTCCTACCTCAGCCTACTGAGTAGCTGGGATTACAGGCGTGCACCACCACACCCAGCTAATTTTTGTGTTTTTAGTAGAGATGGGGTTTTGTCATGTTGGCCTGGCTGGTGTTGAACTCCTGACCTGCAGTGATCCAACCACCTCGGCCTCCCAAAGTGTTAGGATTGCAGGCTTGAGCCACTGTGCCCAGCCTGGTCAACTGTAATCTAAACACAAGAACATCTTGTTTGATTGCTCTTCACTTTATTGTGCTTTGCAAATAATGGGTTTTTCACAAATTGAAGGGTTTTGGCAACCGTGGATCAAGCAACTCTATCAATGCCATTGTTCCAACAGCATGTGTTCACTTCAAGTCTCTGTGTCACATTTTGATAATTCTCTCAATATTTCAACCTTTTTCGTTACATTGTCTGTTATGGTGATCTGTGATCGGTGATAGTTGACATTACTGTTATAATTGTCTTGCAGCACCATAAACCATGCCCATATAAGGCAGCAAGCTTAATAGATAAATGTGTGTGTTCTGACTGCTCCACTGACCAGCTATTCTCTTTATCCCCTATCTTTCTCCCTCTACTCAGGCCCCCTATTCCCTGAAACACAACCATATAGAAACTAAACCAATTAATAACCCTACATTGGCCTCTATGTGTTCAAGTGAAAGAAAGAGTCATACATCTCTCACTTTATTCAAAAGCTAGAAATGATTAAACTTAGTGAGGAAGGCATGTTGAAAGGTGAGACAGACGGAAAGCTAAGAGTCTTGCACCCACCCAACCACCACATTGCAAATGCAAAGGAAAAGCTCTTCACAGAAATTAAAAGTGCTACTCCAGTGAGCACATTAATTATAAGAAAGCAAAATAGCTTTGCTAATATGGAGAAAGTTCTAGTGGTGTGGATAGAAGATGGAATCAGCCACAATATTCCCTTAAACCAAAGCCTAATCCAGAGCAAGACCCTAACTTTCTTCAATTCTGTGAAGACTGAGAGAGGTGAGAAAACTGCAGAAGAAAAAAATGAAGCTAGCAGAGGTTGGCTCGTGAGGTTTAAAGAAAGAAGCCATTTCCATAACAGAAAAGTGCAAGGTGAAGCAGCAAGTGCTGATGCAGAAGCTACAGCAAGTTATCCAGAATATCTAGCTAAGATCATTGATGAAGGTGGCTATGCGAAACAATAGATTTTCCATGTGGATGAAATAGCCTTCTGTTGGAAGAAGATGCCATCTAGAACTTTCACAGCTAGAGAGAAGTCAGTGCCTGTCTTCAAAGCTTCAAAGAACAGTTGGACTCGCTTATTAGGGGCTAATGCAGCTGATCACCTTAAGTTGAAGCCAATACTATGTACCATTCTGAAAATCCTAGGGCCCTTAGGAATTACACTACATCTGTCTGTGCTCCATAAATGGAACAAGAAAGCCTGGATGACAGCACATCTGTTAACAGCTTGTTTTACTGAATATATTAAGCCCACTGTTGAGACCCACTGCTCAGAAAAAGAGATTTTTTTCATAATATTACTTCTCATTGACAGTGCACCTGGTCCCCAAGAGCTCCTGATGGAGAAGCACAAGGAGATGAACGTTGTTTTCATGCTTGCTAACAGAACATCCATTCTGCAGTCCATGGATAAAGGAGTAGTTTCGACTTTCAAATCTTATTATTTCAGAAATACATTTCATAAAGGTAAGCATCCCATAGGTAGAAATTCCTCTGTTGGATCTAGGTAAAGGAAATTAAAAACTTTCTAGAAAGGATTCACAATTATAGTTGTCATTAAGAACATTTGTGATTCATGGGAGGAGGTCAAAATATCAACATTAACAGGAGTTTGGAAGAAATTGATTCTGACCCCCCTGGGTAACTCTGAGGGGGTTCAAGAATTCTGTGGAGGAATTAACTGCAGATGTGGTAGAAATAGCAAGAGAACTAGAGTTAGAAGTAGAGGCTGAAACAGACAGAAGTGCTGCAATCTCCTGATAAAACTTGAATGGATAAGAAGTTGCTTTTTACAAATGATCAAATAAGGTGGTTTTTTAATATGGAGTCTTCTGGTGATGAAGCTGTGAACATTGTCTGAAATGATGACAAAGGATTTAGAATATTACATAAACTTCGCTGGCAAAGCAGCTGCAGAGTTTCAGAGGATTGACTCCAATTTTGAAAGTTCTACTGTGGGTGAAAGGCTATCCAACAGCATCGCATGCTACGGAGAAATCTTTTGTGAAAGGAAGAATAAATTGCTGTGGCAAACTTCATTGTTGTATTATTTTAAGATTTTTCCACAGCCACTCCAACTTCAGCAACCACCACTGACCAGTCAGCAGCCATCAACATCTAGCTTTGCTCCACCAGCAAAGATTATGACTCACTGAAGGCTCAGAGGATTGTTGCAATTTTTAGCAGCAAAGTATTTTTTTAATTAGGGTGCATACGTATTTTTGAACATAATGCTATTGCATACTTTATAGGCTACAATAAAGTGTAAACATAACTTTTATATGCACTGGGAAACCAATACATTTACATGACTCACTGTTTTGTGATACTCATGTTATTGTAGTGGTCTAGAACTAGATCCGCAATATCTCCAAGGTATGCCTGTAGTTGCCCTCAATGCAACTCTGCTGACATAATATATTTCATAAACATAGAAATCCTTTATGTCTTTTCTGTTTTCTTTTATATTTCTCATACCTGGCATAGTGCCTGAAAAATAGAAAATGTTCAGTAAATATGCTTTTCAACGAATGAGGAGGAAGAAATGGAGAGACACATAAAGCATTTTTGATGTTTTACATATCTAACTTCTGATCAAAATGTGGAATAAATTACTTTATGCCCAACTAATCATGCATATACCACTTCTGTTTTCATTGATGTTGTACTGACATTATTAGCAATAGGTGGCAGTCAGTAAATAATCCAAGCCATATCAACCATAGGAACACTTATCAGATTTTTGTTTGGCTTATCTGTCTTTGCTGTCTTGCATCCATTTCCCCTCCTTAATGGCATCACAATTTCCTAGTTTCATTGTGTACAGTCTCAATGGCCCAGTAACTCCAGATTCCTCTCTCCAACTACAGAAGCCAAGGAGGGCTTGACAGAATCTACTTCTCCTACCCTGTGATAGAGCCAGGAGGCAAGCAACTGGCCTATGCATGGCCAATCAAATGATCTCCCTCTAAGACTTCGAATTTTGTATAAGTGAAACAAGGATGGAAAGAACGTTTGGCATTTACTCATCACAGTGGTTAAGAGCTGTATCAAAACCAGACTGCTCCTGCTATGGGACAGTTACTGTGTTTCCAACTTCCTGTACCCGTAGGCATCTCAGTTTTTGCCCATTTCCACTATTGAATCTCAGAGCTCATGAAATCCTTCTGCTTGAATTAGTAAGAGATGGTTTCTGTTGTTTACCACCAAGGAGCTCTAAGTGGCACATGTTCACACCAGCATCATAGCAGCCAGTCTGCATCCTTGGAAGATGCTACCATGTGATGTCTAGCAAGAGTACAGAAACAACCGTAATACACAACTCCCAGGAGGAAAGAGGGAAAAGCAGGGTTGTATTCTTCAATATTGTCAATTCTGCTTTTTAAAGTTAAGTATAGCTATGCCTGGCTTAAACAATAATGTATACAATTAATCACATTTGTTTCTTTTCCACTTAGTTTTGAAATAACCTCAGTGAAAGTTAGAAATTGAAAAGGAAAAACTTCCTAAGTGCAATTTCAAAAATTCACCATGAGGCTGGGCACGGTGGCTCACGCCTGTAATCCGAGCACTTTGGGAGGCTGAGGTGGGCGGATCTTCCAAGGTGAGGAGTTCAAGATCAGCCTGGCCAACATGGTGAAACCCCGTCTCTACTAAAAATACAAAACTTAGCGAGGCATGATGGTGGGTTCCTGTAATCCCAGCTACTCAGGAGGCTGAGGCAGGAGAATCACTTGAACCCAGGAGGCAGAGGTTGCAGTGAGCTGAGATCGCACCACTGCACTCCAGCCTGCGCGACAAGAGTGAGACTCCGTCTCAAAAACAAACAAACAAAAAAAACTCACCATGAGTTTAACTGTTCCACTATTCACGTCTATAATTATTTTTCTTCCTATCTAGTATCTTCCTATAGCCCCTTCTCACATCTGTCCCACATTACATTTTACTGCCATTTAGAATTTAGCCCAGGAGTTGGAGGCCAGCCTAGGCAACATAGGCAACGTAGTGAGACTCTGTTTCTATAAAAAATACATATAAAACATAAAAAATAGAACTCAGGTATTAACTCTAATTTTAGTACCACCATATTATATATTCGGAATAGTAAAGGTTCTCTTTCCCCCCACCCAGGTTAGGAACCAAAACAAACTCTCCCCGTGAAGTTCTAAGCAGTTGTGGCTTCTCTACACATCTCTTTTCAACTATGATAATTCTGGATGTGCTGTTATCATCTAGCAAATCATCTTCAGGCAGGGTGTAGCAGGCAGTGAGCACTGAGGATGAGGTGAGACAGTTCCATCAGGGAAGCAGTGTGCACACAACAAACACCGGGTCTGGGCAAGATGGAGCAGAGGACATGCAGCCCAGCAAAGGACACAGACAGACACCTCTGAAAAGAAGGCATACATGCAGCCAAAAGGCATAGGAAAAAATCTCAATATCACTGATCATTAGAGAAACGCAAATCAAAACCACAATGAGATACCATCTCACACCAGTCAGAAAGGCTATTACTAAAAAGTCAAAAAAAAAAAAATAACAGATGCTGGCGAGTTTGTGGAGAAAAGGGAATACTTATGCACTGTTGGTGGGAGGGTAAATTAGTTCAACCACTGTGGAAAACAGTATGGCAATGCCTCTAAGAGCTAAAAGCAGAACTGCCATTTGACCCAGCAATCCCATTATTCAGTATATACACAGAAGAATATAAATCATTCTACCATAAAGACACATGCACGCGAAAATTCACTGTAGCACTACTCACAATAGCGAAGACATGGAATCAACCAAAATGCCCATCAATGACAGATTGGATAAAGAAAATGTGGTTCATATACACCATGGAATGCTATGCAGTTGTAAAAAAGAATGATGTCATGTCTTTTGCGGGAACATGGATGGAGCTGGAGGCTATTATCCATAGCAAACTAACACAGCAACAGCAAACTAAATACTGCATGTTCTCACATGTAAGTGGGAGCCAAATGGTAAGAACTTACAAACACAAAGAAGAAAACAACAGACACTGCTGTCTATTTGAGGGAGGAGGGTGGGAGGAGGGAGAGGAGCAAAAAAGGTAACTATTGGATACTGGGCTTAATACCTGGGTGATGAATTAATATCTGGGTAATGAAATAATCTGTACAACAAACTCCTGTGATGTATGTTTAGCTATGTAACAAACCTTCGCATGTACCCACAAACCTAAAATAAGTGTTAAAAAGTTGTATGACTTTTAAAAATCCTTCTAATAAATCTTTGCATTCATACTTAAAAAAAATTACATATATGCAAATTCCTCTGGGAATGTACAGCATGGGGTGTTTAACGTTTTTGCTAATTGTCTGCTTACAAACGAAAGGCCAGTGGGAACTGAAACAAAAGTCTGATGCAGAGCCTCGCGGACTTTCATCAGAAGTGGGGGAGCAAAGGCAGAGCAGGCCAGGAGGGGATACGGCAACAGTGAGAAGGAAGGACTGAGAGTTCAGTTCTGTTCTATTGTTTTCCATTTGCACCTTGCAAAAATGACTGTTACTGGCCAGGCATGGTGGCTCACGTCTGTTACTCCTGGCCCCAAGCAATCTGCCTGGAGCCAGGAGTTTGAGGCCAGCCTGGCCAACATGGGGAAACCCCATCTCTACTGAAAATACAAAAATTAGCCAGGTGTAGTGGCATTCACTTGTAGTCCCAGCTACTTTGGAGGCTGAGGCATGAGAATTGCTTGAACCCACGGGGTGGAGGCTGCAGTGAGCTGAGATAGCGCCACCGTACTCTAGCCTGGCCAACAGAGGAAGCTAAACTCTGTCTCAAAAAAAAAAAAAAAAATGGCCGATACCAACTTACAGTGTCAGCTCTGCTGCCCATTGTCATTTTCCCTGGAAAACGTTTAGATGAATAAGTTTCTAAGGACGCCTTAACACTGGAGTCTCCAGGTGGGATCTGAGGGTATACAAAGCCCTTCCCAATGATCTCGAAATCACAGCAGTTGGTAGTTGCCTATTTTGGCTATTCCTGAAGATCAGTGTGTCCTTACTTTAATTACTTTTCTACTATACTAAGAGACTCAATCTATCATAAACTTGAAGTCTTTTTTATAAAGATTTGGTTCTAGAAAATCCCTCTCCTAGACATTTCCTTCATAATTTAAATTGCTATTTGGCAAATAATTTTTCATTTCCTTGAGGGAATTTGAATAAAGTCATGTTGGAATTCTGCCATTACATACAATGCATTTCTTTAAAAAGCATCTTAAAGGAAGAAATGTATTGATATTTACTTTCCAGATGATAATTTGTGCTAATTCTAATATTATTGTGGGGAAAATATGTAACTACTCTATTTTCTCTAAGTAACCACATTGGCAGTTAATATAAATGTTCTTTTAAAAAACTGTATTAACAAGAAACACCGTGTTCTACGGTATCTAGTAGTTTCTACGTGCACGTATTTCAAATATTCTTCTTTATTCACAGACCATAAAATTGCATGTATCATTTGCAACTGAATTTTTTCAGAAGTCCCCTCAAAGGGAATAGGGAAAGGTAAAAATGCATTGAATAATTTTTTTAAGTTGGCTTTATTCCAGAATACAGAGAATATAACTCCTGCCTCTGTCAGTAACTGGCTGGATTTGTAAGGATGATAAATCATTCTTGGATTTTTCATCCAAAGTTCCTTCTCTTTGGTTTCTTCCTCTCTGCTTTACTTTTGGCTTATAAATTTGGATCCTCCCATCTTCCAAAACCAAACTGACGATCACTTGTGAAAATAACTACCTTCATGCCTAGTCTTTCCTAACACACAGGGACTAAATCTATAATAGTATGCCTATACAGCACTTGAAATGGGGCTAACTCACATTGAGGTTTGCTGTCAGTGTAATGATTCACACTGTGTTTTAAAGATTTTGTACAAAAAAGGGAAAATATTTCAGTTTTACATTGGTTTTAAGTTGAAATGATAATATTTTAGAGATATTGGCTTAAATAAAATATAGAATTAGAAATATAGAATATAGAAAAAATTAGAATTAATTGAGCTTTTTAAAAAATCTTGTTACAGTAGCTATCAGAAATTGTATTTATTTTTTTTTTTTACTTTAGAGATGGGGTCTTGCTCTGTAGCTTAGGCTGGAGTGCAGTGACATGATCATAGCTCACTGCAGCCTCTGACTTCCTGGGCTTAAGTGATCCTCCCACCTCATCCTACTGAGTAGCTGGAATTACAGGTACATGCCACCACCCCTGACTAATTTTTTTTTTTTTTTTTTTGTAGAGATGGGGTCTCACTTTGTTGCCCAGGCTGATCTCAAACTTCTGGCTTCAAGTGATCCTCCAGCCTCAGCTTCCTAAAGGGAGAAAATTTTAAATTATGTATGTGGCTCTCTTTACTTTCTCTTAGATAGTACTTGCCTGTAACATGTACTTAACATCCTAAGACACAGATGACATCCTTCTTATGACCTCACTTTTCTCTCTCTCCAACACCTGATGTATGATAAGTGTAATTATTAACCATGCCTCATTTTATTGAGTTTCAAACAGCTAAGTCATCAAGTAGTACTCCACTTCTAAACTGAATATCAATCTAAAAACTTAAAAAATTGAGATTTTTCACAAAGGCTTCCTAGTCTTTTTTTTGCCCCCAGGGAATAAGAATTCTTATTGAAGAAGTCTGAATACCTCTGCTAAATATGAATTTATAACGAAGGGCTGCTCCATCCTCCATTTGGGCTCAAGGACACATTTTTACCTCCAGGATCTAACTGTGAAATACTCTAGCTCAATAACAAGACCATTTCTGTCAAGGGAACCAAAGATTCCCTTGCTCTGCCCCTGGACAGGTGATATTTGCCTGCCCCTGGACTGATGACACCAGAAGTTGATCTTCAGAGTCAAGAGTTCACTGAGAGGCCAAATGGATGCCAAGGAACTCTAACCCTCCCTTCCTTTTCCTGTGCATTCATCTTCTTTCCTGCATCTTCTCTGCTAATCTATGGATTTGCTGACCTTGCATGTCTGGCCAAGCTCTAGAGTTTCCTTTCTGATTACATCATGCAACCACACTAGATGTCATGCTGACATTCCTTCACAATGCCCTGTCCTTTTATCAGGTGACATCACCCCTAACCAAAAGAGAGACATACAGCAGAGGAGTAAAATGCATATACCGCAGAGCCAAACAAGCCCTCCTTTAAATCTCTCATCACACCATGCATTGTATGCTTTACCTTAGTCAAGCTACAACCTTGATTTCCTCATCTATAGGATGAGGATAATAATAAAATGTACTTTGAGTAGGGCCTGCTAGTTGACCCCAATATACATTCTCTTCTTTAATAATAGAAACCAGCCGGGTGCGGTGGCTCACACCTATAATCCCAGCACTTTGGGAGGCCAAGGCGGGGTAATCACTTGAGGTCAGGAGTTCGAGACCAGCCTGGCCAACATGGAGAAACCCCATCTCTACTAAAAATACAAAAATTAGCCAGGTGAGGTGGTAGGCACCTGTAATCCCAGCTACTTGGGAGGCTGAGGCAGGAGAACCACTTGAACCCAGGAGGCAGAGGTTGCAGTGAGCCGAGATCATGCCACTGCACACCAGCCTGGGCTACAGAGCAAAATTCCATCTCAAATAATAATAATAATAATAATAGAAACCTTCCACCTTCACCTTGGAACTTGGCTACCAGCTAAGGCCTTCATTTCCCAGCCTCTCTTGCAGCTCCATGTGGCAAAAGGCATACAAACAGAAATGGCATATCTAACTCTCTCTCTGGCAAAAGGCATAGAAACAGAAATGGCATATCTAACTACCTGTATGTGGCCTTTTTCTTTTCTGCAAGTGCCTGAAATATAGAAGTGATATCTAGTCATCTTGGACCATGCAGATGAGAACAACAGCTTAGGGATTATAAAATAATAAAATGGAAAGAAGACAAGAAATAACCAAAATCAGAGCTGAACTGAGGGAGACTGAGACACAAGAAACCATTCAAAAGATCAACGAATCCAGGAGCTGGTTTTTTGAAAACATCAATAAAATAGCTAGAATGCTAGCTAGGCTAATAAAGAATAAAAGAGAGAAAATCCAAATAAACACAATCCAAAACAAGAAGGATATTACCACAGACCCCACAGAAATACAAACAACCATCAGAGAATGTTATGAACACCCCTATGCATATAAACTAGAAAATCTAGAAGAAATAGATAAATTCCTGGACTCCGAAGACTGAACCAGCAAGAAATTAAATCCCTGACCAGACCAATAAAGAGCTCTGAAATTCAATCAGTTATAAATAGCCTACCAACCAAGAAAAGCCCAGGACCAGATGGATTCACAACTGAGTTCTACCAGATGTACAAAGAAGAGCTGGTACCATTATTCCACCATTCCTACTGAAGGTACTTCAAAAAAAAAAAAAAAAAAGAGGAAGAGGGAATCCTCCCCTAACTCATTCTGTGAGTCCAGCATCATTCTGCTACTAAAACCTGGCAGAAGCACAACAACAACAAAAAAACTTTAGGCCCATATTCTTGATGAACATAGATGCAAAAATCCCCAGCAAAATATTGGAGAATTGAATCTAGCAGCACATCAAAAACCTTATCCAACACAATCAGGTAGGCTTTATACCTGGGATGCAAGGTTGGTTCAACATATACAAATCAAAACATGTGACTCATCACATAAACAGAACTAAAGACAAAAGCTATATGATTATCTCAATAGATGAAAAAAAGGCTTTTAGTAAAATTCAACACGCCTTCATGTTAAAAACTCTCAATAAATTAGGTGTTGAAGGAATATACCTCAAAATAATAAGAGCCATCTATGACTAACCTACAGCCAACATCATACCAAGGGCAAAAGCTGGAAGCATTCCCTTTGAAAACTGGAACAAGTTAAGGATGCCCTCTCTCACCACTCCTATTCAACATAGTATTGGAAGTCCTGACCAGAGCAAACAGGCAAGAGAAAGAAATAAAGGGCATCCAAATAGGAAGAGAGGAAGTCAAACTATCCCTGTCTACAGATGACATGATCCTATAACTATAAAACTCCATGGTCTCAGCCCAAAAGCTCCTTAAACTGGTAAAACAACTTCAGCAAAGTCTCAGGATACAAAATCAATGTGCAAAAATCACTAGTACCCCTATATACCAATAACAGTCAAAGCTGAGAGCAGAATCAGGAATGCAATCCCACTCACAATTGCCACACATGCACACAAATAAAATACTTAGAAATACCAGCTAACCAGAGAAGTGAAAGATCTCTGCAAGGAGGGCTATAAGACACTACTCAAAGAAATCAGAGATGACACAAACAAATGGAAAAACATTCCATGCTCATGAATAGGAAGAGTCAATATCTTTAAAATGGTCATACTGCCCAAAGCAATTTATAGATTCAATGCTATTCCTACTAAACTACCAATGACATTCTTCACAGAACTAGAAAAAACTATTTTAAAATTCATACGTTACCAAAGAAGAGCCTGAATAGCCAAAGCAATCTTAAGCAAAAAGAACAAAGCTGGAGGCATCACGCTACACAACTTCAAACTATATTACAGGGCTACAATAACCAAAACAGCATGGTACTGGTACAAAAACAGACACATAGACAAATGGAACAGAATACAAACTCCAGAAATAAGGCCACACACCTAAAACTATCTGATCTTTGACAAAATTGACAAAAACAAGCAAAGGGGAAAGGATTTCCTATTTAATAAATGGTGCTGGGATAACTGGCTAGCCATACGCAGAAGACTGAAGCTGGACCCCTTTCTTACACCATATACAAAAATCAACTCAAGATGGATTAAAAACTTAGATGTAAAACCCCAAACTACAAAAACCCTGGAAGACAACCTAGGCAGTATCATTCTGAACACAGGCACAGGCAAAGATTTAATTACAAAGATGCCAAAAGCGATTGCAACAAAAGTAAAACTTGACAAATGAGATCTAATTAAAGAATTTTTGGACAGCAAAAGAACCTATCAGCAGAGTAAACAGACAACCTACAGAATGGGAGAAAAGTTTTGCAGACTATACATCTAACAAAGGTCTAATATTCAGCATCTATAAGGAACTTAAACAAATTTACAAGAGTAAAACAAACAACCCTGTTAAAAAGTGGAGAAAGGACATGAACAGACACTTCTCAAAAAAGAATATCATGCGGCCAACAATCATATGAAAAAAGCTCAACATAACTGATTATTAGAGAAATGCAAATCAAAACCACAGAGAGATACCATCTCACGCCAGTCAGAATGGTTATTACTAAAAAATAAAAAAATAACAGATGCTGGTGAAGTTGTGGAGAAAAAGGAATACTTACACACAGTTGGTAGAAGTGTAAATTAGTTTAACCATTGCAGAAGACAGTGTGGCGATTTCTCAAAGACCTAAAATCAGAAATACTATTTGACCCAGCAATCCCTTTAGGGGGTACATACCCAAAGGAATATAAATAAACTGTTCTACCATAAAGACACATCCACGCATATGCTCATTGCAGCACTATTCACAATAGCAAAGACATGGAATCAACCTAAATGCCCATCAATGGTAGACTGCATAAAACAAATGTGGTAGATATACACCATGGAATACTATGTAGCCAAAATAAAATGAGATCATGTCCTTTACAAAAACAGGGATGGAGTTGGAGGCCACTATCCTTAGCAAACTAATGCAGGAATAGAAAACCAAATACCACATGTTCTCACTTATAAGTGGGAGCTAAATGATGAGAACACATGGACACATAAAGGGGAACAACATACACTGGGGCCTATTGGAAGGTGGAAGGTGGGAGGAGGGAAAGGATCAGGAAAATAACTAATGGGTACTAGGCTTAATACCTGGGTGATGAAATAATCGGTACAACAAACCCCCATGACACAAGTTTATCTATATAACGAACCTGAATATGTACCCCTGAACTTAAAAGTACATTTTTAAAAAAAGGAAAGACACCAAAATTTGTCAAAGCCACTGTTACTGGGGCTTTTAGTGCATTAACTGAATGCATACCCTACAATGCCACCCTAAAGAAGTATGAAATTAAATGAGGTAATGTACATAAAGTGCTTAGTATCTGATAACATATAATAAGCACTAAAGAAAGAATGGCAGCTGTTTATTATTATTATTATTGATAGCCCAAATCCCACCACCTAGCTACAGACGTACAGAAACAAACACACACACACACACACAAACACATGCATGCACACAGGCAAGGAGAAGAAAACCTAAGCAAAATCCATCGATGTGAACATGTATGATATTACGTAGAAGGTAGATATTAAATACTTAGAGGCTGGCAGAATTTCTCCTGAGCCTTAGGAATTAAAAATCACAACATGCATGCTCTGTACACCATGATAATCTACTGGGATCTGCACTGCCTGTTTCATACAGGTGGAAATCCTGATGAGGCTGCTAAGTGGGACCAGCCGAGAACACATCTGTGCCAGCTCATGCTTCATTACTTCAGACAGTTCCCTCTCTAAAAGCTATCTGGTTATTAAATTCGGGTATCTTTTGTCTTGTTCAATGATGATGATAAGAGCAAAGACAGCAACTTTTAATGACTTCTTTGTAGGTGCAAGCAATCTTCCCTTCTTGGCAGCAAATTGGTCATAGCTTAGAAGAGCTGCCTTCTCGAGAGTGGGAGGAACCAGACATCATATATTGACTTGATGCAAAGTGTGTACTCCCCTTGCTTAGGTAGCACCCTTTATATAGTTAACTATCGGAACTATCCCTAACTCAGAAAATCAAGGAAACTATTTCTTATGGTAAATTTCTGCAGAGAAATTATAAATACTAAGGGATGCTTCATGCAGTTATTCTTAAAACTCTTGCACAGGTGTCTAAACCTATAGAGAAATTATATCTTCCTCTAAAGGAGGGAAGCATTAGGGTCTAAGCCCCAAAATGGGGTGCCAGCATAGTCTACAAGTATATTGGCAGGATGGCATCCTATAAATGGGAGCGTCAACATTTAATCCCCTATCTGCACCAGAGTCGAGGGTGTGACGCCCTGACAGACTGAACCCCTTCCATCTCAGCATCCGGAGTTGGGGTGGATTCAGTGCTCAGCAACCTTCACAGATGAGATTATGGCCTGCATACCAATGGCAAAGCAGATCCTTAAGTGTGTCCTGCCGAGTTACATCCAGAGCCTCCCCAGGAAACCTGTGTAGACACGCCAGACTGGAATGCCTGATGCCAGCTCTAGGATGCCCAGGTTAGATGAGGAGGACAGCAACTGTCACTGAGTGTGAAGATAATCAGGACTGAAGTCACACCTTTTGGTTCTGCAGAGGCTGGCAGCCTGAATTTTTGTTGGTGAGCTGCAAGGGTGCGATCCGGCATGTCGTGTCTAATAACTTTCTTTTCTGCAGTCTGACATGCTGAGAGATCTGGACTGCTCATGTTAAAAGCTGGATTTCCAGTGCCTTCTGTAGCTTCTCTATCTTCTTTAACTAGAGCAAAACAAGGAGGTCAGAAGATCATACGATAACAAAATATATTCCAATGACAAGCAGAAAATTCCTTCCAGTAATTCTTGCGTGGAAAGACTCAAGTGTATCGTCCTCAAATGTCACCAAAACAGAATTAGGTTAAAATTAACTCTTAAAAAAAAGAATAAATGATTAAAATAATTACAAATTGCACCCTGACAAGCAAGAGCAAAATTTCGCCCACAGCCATTTGTCTGTAATTAGTTAATTAATCCTTACACAAATTATGAGCAATAACTCATCAAGCAAGGCTCACCCATCAGAAATTCAGCCGACTTGGATTTCTTCTGCTTAGTTTGCTTCAGAGCCTTCTGCTGAAACTTCTGGAGGGAAATTGTTAAATGAATAAATTAGCTAAAGAATGAAGATCATCATTTATGATCCACAACTAACACAGTATTTTAAATATGGGATGGCATTGAAATGTCATTTAATTTACATCTCTCCTAAAGGGGTCAAACACTAATTGAACAACAGAAGTGGAAGAATTAAATAAAATAGGATAAGAAAAGTTAATACAAATGCCAAATGAAGGTCACATTAAAATACTTTGTTTTTATCATTTTTAATTAATGCAAAGAGCCCTCAACAAATTAAGAATGCTGAAAAACTTGCACTGAGAAACTTACACAGCACAATTGGCATTCATTCATTTGGACTGTGCTACAATGCCATTTTCTTTGGTAGAACAGAATTATCTTGCAGGAAACCTGTATGTGCTAGGTATTTGTTCTCGCTTGCATCCATATTTGTTTTAAACTGCTAGATTTCAGTATGTGAACTAATTTTTTATTTGAATCAAATCAGGGATATATAGGATCCAATATTCTTAAATTTCAGTAACAGGCAAAACAATGTAAAGTGCCAGTTGCCAAGTGAGTCATACTCTATGGTACTTACAAAGATTTCATAAGATGCCCCGTCACTGAAAACCAGAAGTCATTATGTGACTAGAAAACCCATTAATATTAGAATACATAATAAATGGTCAAAAATGAAAATGAATAGCCAGAAATATTATTAGAGTTCTCAGACTCCTACAAGTTCCAAATGAATACTTGGTAACTGTCAGACTAAATTTTAAAATATATCTGTGATAGAAACATGTAAACTCAGATTGAATTAAAACTCAGGTTAACAATAAGCAATAAGACCAAGAAAGACAAAGACAGTAGAAAACAGCAAACCTCAGTTCTGTTTCTAAGATAGTGCCATGTTTGACAACTCATTTAATAGTTTCTGACGACTAAATTCAAAATTACAAAATGCCTTGTCTATTTTTAAATCCTATGTCATTGCTTGTAATGGGTTTGCTAAAGCTTCTAATATTCCCATTTTTTGTTAAAATGTTTACAATAAACCTGAATTTTTCAAAAATTTTTTATTATTTTTATCACATTATAAAGCAATTAAATCATAACATCATAAGTTGCATAAATATCATAATATCATAAAGCCATGTTGGAGATTTACTAACAAATATGCCACGCAGCCAACCCAAATACAGGGCCTAGTTTTCCGAGAATCCCTCTGAAACAAAAGTAAATATTTAGTGTAAAATAGGTTAAAAAGTTATTTCAGGCTGGGAGCGGTGGCTCACGCCTCTAATCCCAGCACTTTGGTAGGCCGAGGCAAGCGGATCTCGAGACCATCCTGGCTAACACAGTGAAACCCCGTCTCTACTAAAAATACAAAAACAAAATTAGCCGGGTGTAGTGGCGGACGCCTGTAGTCCCAGCTACTCCGGAGGCTGAGGCAGGAGAATGGCGTGAACCCGGCAGGCGGAGCTTGCAGTGAGCCGAGATCGCGCCACTGCACTCCAGCCTGGGCGACAGAGCGAGACTCCGTCTCAAAAAAAGAAAAAAAAGATAGGCCAGGCGCGGTGGCTCACGCCTGTAATCCCAGCACTTTGGGAGGTTGAGGCGAGTGGATCACGAGGTCAGGAGATTGAGACCATCCTGGCTAGCACGGTGAAACCCCGTCTCTATTAAAAATACAAAAAAAAAAAAAAATTAGCCAGGCTTGGTGGCGGCCGCCTGTAGTCCCAGCTACTCAGGAGGCTGAGGCGGGAGAATGGCGTGAACCCGGGAGGCGGAGCTTGCAGTGAGCCGAGATCGTGCCACTGCACTCCAGCCTGGGTAACAGAGCGAGACTCCGTTTCAAACAAAACAAAAATAAATAGATAAAATAAATTAGACTACATTCATAAAAAACTTGCTAAACTTTAAAAAGGGTAGTTCACCACTGCACTAAATGTTCCTACATTTTATTAAGAAAGAGGTTGAAGTCTGATTGTTTTTTTCACAGCCTTCAGCTGAGGTAACAGCAGATATTAGTTTTCTTGACATGGTTCAGTAATTTTGGCACTTCACTCCTTTCAGATCGAGTTAAACATGCTTTTAAATAGATGGATGTGGCCTATTAATAGACCTCATTTCCTTACTAAGGACTTCAAATGAAATTATGGACTTGCTCTCTAATGTTAAAAAGGTCTCAAACATATTTTCACAAGTTCACATATTCAAAAGGAAAGCAATGTCTGATTGTACACACCAGAGATGAATTCTTTGAGAGGATCACCAAGCGGTGGTTTGTATTTTGTGACCTCTTCACTACTAACATATGTTCAAGAGGAAATTAGGAGTGATTTCTGACTTCTCTCTTTTGCCAATTTCCTCACTGTTTTCTCTCCTTTACACATGGGCACCTTTAAGTGGCGTAAATTGCATTTTCCCCACCCCCTTCTCAATTCAGTCTCTCTTTCCTGATGAGATTTTTATCTCTTTAGCTCATGCAAAATAATCCTTCACTCATATTTTACATCAATTCATTCATTACCAGTAGTTAACTTAGTGTATTTATGTAAATGTTAGCATTTTAATAAGTTCACATTAACTTACTAAATTCCTATACTGAATGTCAAAAATTAAATTAAAAAAAACAAAATTTCATCACCAGCATCCTCCTGCTTCTCACTGATATCTGTTCAGTTTTGAAGATCAGCAAAATCTCTAGAAATCTTAACTATTAATAAATCTGCTATGGATAGGCTTTGTGGCTTTTGCCTTCGTGTTTCTATTTAGCAGCTATAACGCAAAGTAACTCTCTAAAGGGACACACTTTTAAAGCATTTTTTTATTGTGATAAGAACAGATGACATGAGATCTACCCTCTTAACACAAGTTTCATCACTGCAGTGTTAACTATCAGCACGATGCTGGACCACAGATCCCTAGAACTTACTCATCTTGAATAACTGAAAGGTAACATATTTATATGTGTGTTTAAATAGTGCTAAATCAGTTCCTTTTAATAATTTTAGTAAGGCTACCCTATTAAATATATTCAGTAATGTGGAAGAAACAATACTTTGTGATTTGAACAGAAAAAAAAATCCCTGAAAACCTGAAATTTTTAAGAACTGACAGTTTCCGATAATATTTTCCTTTTCATTAAAAAGCAACAAATATCTTTTGATGCGGACACTCTCAACTTGAAAGGAAATCTACGATAGAGTAGCAAACATGAACAACAACAAACTCATTTATAACCAGTGACAACCAAAACCTATGAAGTTTTTAAAAGAATGTGATTGTTGTCAGAAGGAATCGGGTCCTGCGGTGCAGTTGTTCAGCTCTGGTTGCACTCAAAGCCATGGCTGAGGGACGCAGGGAGCACTCCTCCAAGGCTGGT
Source organism: Homo sapiens (assembly GCF_000001405.40). Lineage (NCBI taxonomy): Eukaryota > Metazoa > Chordata > Mammalia > Primates > Hominidae > Homo > Homo sapiens. The sequence goes on from NC_000006.12 coordinate 9,936,679, forward strand.
GGGCACAGACCAGCAAGAAAGTGAATTCTGCATACTGTACGGATCATCGCTCAGTTCAGGGCAGTCAGATTGCATCTGGGATCAACCAATTGTGCTTCATGAAACCGTCACCCCTCATTTGTGTCTGGCTGTTTTCTTCTGTCCGGCTGTAAACAAGGCCAGCTCTTTTTCTTCCTACCCTTATCTGCAGGGTCAGACCAAGTCAGTAGCCTCAAAGCTCAAGTGAAAAGTTCCTTCTTGCAGACAACAGTTCCTGTACACACTGGGGAGTCACAAAGAGAAGCAACTTTGGAATGACAGAGTTAGGGTCTCTTTTTGGAAACGCATACCTTAGATTCCTACACATCCCGGCATGGCATGGCTCTTCCATGAAATGAAATTAGGTGTTCCTAATATGAACAACTGTTTTTTTCGGCAGACCAGCTCAGCGATTCATCTTGCTGGGGAGGCGGGGGTGCTAGTGATTGTGTTTTGTTGTTTCACTGCTCTAGGGCTTTGCTTGGATCAGCCAAAAAAGACGTGGATAGAAATACTGTCAATCTGGTCCCACTCCAGGAACCTAATCATGCCTGAATCGCTCGGAGGAGTGTAATGATGGCAACATTACAGGAACAGGTATGTTGGATTCCGTTCTCATCCACTTCGGCCACAGTATCGCCTTTACAATAAAGCAAAATACGATTTTGAAGGCACATCATCTCAATCATCAAAGGGAGGGGGTGTCACTGAAGCCCTTTTCGTTGGCAAGTGGCACAAAGGTAATGTTTAGTATTCACTACATTGAATTCTCCTAGCCAGCTGGTGTGTCCCTGTTAAGACTTTCATTTATGCAGCTTGAGCTGGAACCTTTTTTGTTCTCCCAGTCTATTACTTTGTCGATTCAAGGGATAACAGCCAAAGTGAAACAGCTTGCAATTTGCACCTGTCTGCTCTAAGCATTCCACGTTAGATTGTGTGGAGAGCAAACCCTTCACTGCTAATGAGAGTGAGACTGGGTAGGGCTGAATGCAGTTCTGTTGGGGGACTTATAGAATATCTTAGTGTTTTTTATTTTTTATTTTTTTATTTTTTGTAACTGATTGGATGAGGACCTCCCCATTTTCATGTTTAGAGTCACTGGAGGAAGAGAAAAATACAATTCAAACAAAAACAAAAACAAAAACAAAAACAAAATACCAACACATAAAGTTGTGTACTCTTTAAAGAAAATTTTAAGTGTCATGTAACTAAGAATTGAATTAATATTTAGCCTGAGTTGCCTCAGATAAGAAAGCAAATATTTAAATGCTAAATTATTTCCATGTGAGTGTAAACATAAAATATCTACAGAGACCTTTACTTTGTAGCATTGGCAAGGAAAGAAAGCAAATTTAAAAAATTTTTAGGCATATTCCAGAAGTAGGACTAGTTTTGGTAATAATGTCAAGGGCCTAAAAATAAACTTGAGATTTCCGCTTAGATTGCCTTTGAAAATTTAAGCTGCTGAATCCGAAACAAAAATTCAAGGGTGTCACTTCAAAATCATACCTAGATAGACATAAACATCTTTATCCAACTCATCATCATGTGCATCACAGAATGAATTCTCCACAATTGCACAAATGTCAGCACCTATGATTCTCCCAAATCTTTTCCCAGTTCTCTGCATTCCCGCAGCTTTGATTCTTTCAAGGAATTATATCAGTGGATTACCATCTATTTTGAAAGAATTAAACTCGTTGAGATGAAAGAGTTTTAATCATGGCTTATGACATTCCCCCCCAAACCTGGGGATATTAGAAAAATCAAAATAATAATGCTTGAATTATTAGGCAAAATATTCTCAAAGATGATCCAAAATTTAGTAAACTAAAAAAAAAAATAGCCTAATAATCTATTTATCAAAGGATCTGTGCTACATTTGGATTCTAAACATTCCCCGCACTGGCACTTCCTGTTGAAATAATAACTTATATGATGATGGGTTAAGTGAAGCCGAAGTGGTCGCAAATGTGTCCTACTAGTAATTAATATATTTGAATCTAGTTGTTGGCCCACATCTGGCCTGACAGATAACGTTCCAGCTTGTCCAGCGACGACCCTTTCAGCACAGCGTTAGGAGTCCTGCCAGCCTTTGCAGAGTCTGGTCAGGTCAAAGGGTTGAGCCATGTGTAATTCAGAACAGAGGAGGTCCCACGGTCACTCCACAAAAACAATTACACTACTTATTTCACATTAGCCCTTGCCCAAAATTCACAAGCCTCACAGTTTCAGTGCAGCCAATCTGATTCTGCCCCTAGGCGATAAGCCACATGAAAATATGTGGTGCTGTGTTTATAAATCTAATCAAAAATAGAAACAGCGGACAGGCACCATGAGGTCCTACTATGGATCATGGGAATCCTTGGGAATTCTGAGGCACTTTTGTTTCTCTTCCGTAGACTCTCTTTTGCTACGATGTTCCCTGCTACACTCGTTAATCATCCTCTTTACTCGTGAGTGCTACAAAGGAGGCTACATTTCTACTCACTTCTATACTTTCCATCCATGGAAAACGAAAAGTCAAGCTTGAAAGCCTTGCTTTTAAAGGAAAAAAAATTAAGGAGGGGCCTACTGTGACATCGATCTTACCTCTCTCTCCATGTTCTCAGCTTCTTGCCCTTGGCAATGCACAGATTTCAATCCAGTCTCTCTAAAAAAGAAAAAGAATATTTAAAAACCAAGGTAAATTGACCCAATCATGAGCTATGTTAAGCAATGTGGGATTGGACAGCTACAGTGCTACTTAATGGTTCTGAAAAAATCTAAGTATAAAGTCAACAGGATATAAGCTGGTGTCCTACTTTTATTGTTGTTGCTCATTTCTTAAGCGAGATTCCTAATAAACTGAGGGTCAGTCAATATTCTCAACATGTTTTACAAAGGCAATCTCTAGGAAAACTTCAGATTTGATTTAGATGCTTAAATATCCTATTTTATGCCCCAAAAGTGACAAATTCAGATTGCATTGAAGTTACAATGACAACTTGCTGCTGCATACCTTAGGTACCTGTACTGTTTATCATTTAAAAGTTATGATCCAGTTGTGCAACAGTCGTAAGTAGATAATATCTGATAAAGTCAATGATAAATATGTGTATTGAGGGGCTAAGCAGATTACACCCTGAGACCGTTATCCAGCAAAGATATAAAATATAAAAATTATAATGAAAGGAAATGTGGTTCTAACACTCATAAAACTCCTTAAAGTCATACAATAAATTATTAAGGTCAATCTGCAAATGATTACATTTGATATTATTTTAATTGACAGAAATACTACACCAGAATACAGTCTGGGCCCAGATAATTAGAATAAATGGAATTTTTTTAATGAATGATGATGATGATCTCAGCATTTATTAAACTATTGTAAACATTCACCAGAATAATCTTTTAGGCCATATATGGTGGCTCACACTTGTAATCCTAGTACTTTGGGAGGCCAAGGTGGGTGGATTGCTTGAGCTTAGGAGTTTGAGACCAGCCTGGGCAATATAGTGAGACACCCATCTCTACAAAAAATATAAAAATTAGCCAGGCATGGTGGCACATGCCTGGAGTCCCAGCTTGGGAGGCTGAGGTGGGAGGCTGGCTTGAGCCTGTGAGACAGAGGTTGTGGTGAGGTGATATGGTGCCACTGCATTCCAGCCTGGGTGACAGAGCCAGACCCTGTCTCAAAAAAAAAAAAAAAAAAAAAATTCTTTTAAATTTTAAACTCGAAGTTTGCCCTTTTGAGATGGTTATCAGTATTTGACAGTAAAATAAAGCCCATCATGTATGAATGATACATGTGACACTTTTCTTATTCAGAGCTATTATTGTTTTCAAAAATTACTTTTTCAAAGTCAAGAGCTATCTATTATTGTTTTCAAAAATTATATACGCTTTGTGTATATGAGCTTTTGAATAGTATCAATGTTGAAAAATGAAAGATTTTAGTCCTTCTAGTGCTAATTTAAAAACTCCTACTGTTTTATGTAAAAGTAACATAAGTTTTAAAGATTATATTGAATTACTTCCTAAAATAAGTGAAAGACATGTAAAATTATTTAAAAGAAAAAACCAGTGTCAAGATTTTAAAAATTTAAACAATTAGCAGAAATTGAAGTTTGACTTGCTTGTGTTTTCCACAGCACAGTGACTGAAGAGTAATTCAAAAGCATCTACTTCTAGGAACATATGTGGAGCAGAATTTTTTTCCCTTGAATTTGGCCTTAATCTAATAGTCAATATCTGTCTTTGAAAATGTTTGTAATTTGTAACATTGCTCAAGTTATTGTCATCAAAAATGTATTCTGCAGACATATAACCCAAAGTGTATAAGCCAAAAAGCCCAGGTTGCCTCTATTAACATAAATAGAATGCTCAGGAAACTTCATAAGGCAGACCACTTGTCTTCCTTCATAGATGGCTGCATTTTAAATGCCTTTCTGCACAAATATTCAGAATGCAGTCTCAGTAGAGTAAGACCCAATATAATTGTAAAATAAGATCAAAATTCCTCATTATCTCAGACAAAATGTAGAGTTGAATCCAGAAGGCAGCCTGATAGAAGTGAGTGTTGTATCATTTTAAAAAGCTGCTGTCACCAGGGGAGGCGTACAGCTAGCTGTCCATTGCCCTGTCTCAGGAACAACGAGAGTGGCCCAGGGTGCCTCCCCACTTGGGAATCTCTGACAGGTTCAATTAGGCATTATTTCAATAAAGCATGTCAGTCACTGAGTTTGTATGAGCTGGAATTTGGGGGTTGTAGTCAGACCCTCACAAATGGGGGACAACCAGCAGAACACGGGTGATGAAAAGCAAATGGCCCATCCTGAGTCAAGGAAAATCAGTAAACATGTGACCTGGCTTTAGAGCATGAACAGATTTTGGCAAGCTGTTGGCTGTGATGGATATACCGACACATGAAAATGTGTCCCCAGTGCAACTCCTCAGGGCTTAGTTCAGAGACCTCAAAAGTAGGAAAGAATTGTTAAAAGCTGGAAAACAGCCCTTCAGCTCCTAAGGAGCTCTGGCAAGTGGTGGGGATAGAGAAAAGACGTATGAGGCTGGGTTCCAGAGGCCAGAGGAGCTGGATCAGTATAGAGGATGCAGGGACCCAGTAAATATGTGCACAGGCAGCAGAGTGAACTTTGAGGAATAGACAGTCAAATGGGAAACGGGAAACGGAAGAAACACGTGAGCAAAGAGTGGTGAAGAAAATCAAAACAAGAAGTTCATAGGACAATGAGTAGATTCTGTCAGTATGTAATAATTTCAACAAGTTAGTGATTATTAATGATCAGCTACTGAAGGATGACAGCGTGCTGGCAGCCCTTGCAGCCCTCACTCACTCTTGGCACCTCCTTGGCCTCAAAGTGTCCACTCTGGCCATGCTTGGGGAGCCCTTCATCCCGCCACTGCGCTGTGGGGGCCCCTCTCTGGGCTGGTTGAGGCCAGAGCTGCCTCCCTGAGCTTGCCGGGAGGTGTGGAGGGAGAGGCGCGGGCGGGAACCAGGGCTGTGCGCCACACTTGTGGGCCAGCTAGAGTTCTGTATGGGCATGGGCTTGGCCGGCCTGCACTCGGAAAGGCCGGCTGGCCCCCGCCAGCCCCGGGCAGTACAGGGCTTATCACCAGGGCTAGCAGCTGCGGAGGGTGCGCCGGGTCCCCCAGCAGTGCCGGCCCACCAACACTGCACTCGATTTCTCCCCGAGCCTTAGCTGCCTTCCTGCCGGCCAGGGCTCGGACCTGCAGCCCGCCATGCCTGAGCCTCCCCCTCGCCGCCCCTGCCCTCGCCCCCGCCCCCAGCTCTTGCACAGCCCCAGCCTCCCCCACGAGCGCCGCCCCCTGCTCCACAGCACCCGGTCCCATTGACCGCCCAAGGGCTGAGGACTGCAGACGCAAAGCATGGCGCTGGCAGGCAGCTCCACCTGCCACCCCGGTGCGAGATCCACTGAGTGAAGCCAGCTGGGCTCTTGAGTCTAGTGGGGACTTCGAGAACCTTTATGTCTAGCTAAGAGATTGTGAATACACCAATCAGCACTCTGTGTCTAGCTCAAGGTTTGTAAATGCACCAGTCAGCACCCTGTGTCTAGCTCAAGGTTTGTGAATGCACCAATCAGTGCTCTGTGTCTAGCTAATCTAGTGGGGACTTAGAGAACTTTTGTGTCTAGGTCAGGGATTGTAAATGCACCAATCAGCACCCTGTCAAAACGGACCAATCAGCTCTCTGTAAAATAGAGCAATCAGCTCTCTGTAAAATGGACCAATCAGCAGGATGTGGGTGGGGCCAGATAAGGGAATAAAAGCAGGCTGCCCGAGCTGCAGTGGCAACCCAGTCTGGTCCTCTTCCATGGTCTGAGAACTTTGTTCTTTTGCTGTTTGCAATGAATCTTACTGCTGCTTGCTTTTTGGGTCTGCACTGCTTTTATGAGCTGTAACACTCACCACGAAGGTCTGCAGCTTCACTGCTGAGCCAGCGAGATCACGAACTCACCAGAAGAAAGAAATTCCTAACACATCCGAACATCAGAAGGAACAAACGCCAGACACTGTGTTTAAGAACTGGAACACCCACCGTGAGGTTCTGTGGCTTCATTCTTGAAGTCAGTGAGATCAAGAACCCACCAATTCCGGACACATTACCACATTCCTTTTGAAACACAAAAAACGACTGCTCGAGTAACTGGCAAAATAGGAAGCCAATCAGAAAATGGATTCATTTGCTAAACTATCTATAAGACCTTCACTGTTGGCCAGGTGCAGTAGCTCACACCTGTTATCTCAGCACTTTGAGAGGCCGAGTGGATTGCCTGAGGTCAGGAGTTCGAGACCAGCCTGGCCAACATGGTGAAAGCCCGTCTCTACTAAAACTTAGCCAGGCGTGGTCATGCACACCTGTAATCCCAGCTACTCGGGAGGCAGAGGCAGGAGAATACCTTGAACCCGGGAGGTGAGAGTTGCAGTGAGCCGAGATTGAGCCACTGCATTCCAGCCTGGGTGACACAGCAAGAACAAGACTCCCATCTCCCAAAAAAAAAATAAAAAAAAAGACGTTCACTGTCAAAAAAAACCTCCAAAGTAGCTAGCTTAAAGAAAAAGAAATTATAAACACTGTAAATTTACCAAAATAATAACTTTATGCTTTATCAGGAATCCTAGACTTAATAAATAAACAAACGGACACCACTGCAAAACTCACACTGTGGCTGCAGGTTTGGATCACAGTGTAGCATGTTTATAGAAATACAAGTGGCCTACAATAGGGATCATTTTCTAAAAACCAATCTCCAACTTGCAAGCAGATTAATAACTTCAATATCCCCTGCTTGCAAGTAACCTGTTGGCCACATTCTCTTGAGTCCAGGTTAATAAACACTGCTGATTTGTATAGTCATTTTGTTGTTTGTTGATTTGAAGGCTGATTTTAAAACGGCTTTCACTGAAATCGTTGGCCTTAGATTGCAAATTAAGCCTTGGAATTGCCAAATCTCTGACGACTGGTTCACTGCTTCCAGAGAAGGGAATTAACATGGCTACAGCTGTCGTTTCATTGCATTTCTCTTCTCAAGCAGACCAGCAAGGGCAAAGATGGTATTTAACAGAGGTCGCAAGCCAGATTCTGTCTGCAGACACATTTTGTTTAACCTCCACAGTGATTTTTAAAATGTTGAGCCAGTATTTAAAAATAAGAAAGTTGCCACTTAAAATAGAAATCCGATTTCTGATTTGTCTTGGAAAATTAAAAGCTTTGGCAACATAGAATCAGCATTCATGGTTGGCAGCAATTGGCCAGAGGTGAGTGGCAGCAGCGTGTTTTTCAGGCAATACTCTCCAGGCCCATAGATCCCATTCTCCCTACTGCAGACCACAAACCAAAATGTCCTCTCCATTAAGGCGTCGTTTTAGTCATTGCTACATCCTTGGAACGAAGAGCAGAGCCTCGGAAGCAGTGGGTGCTTGAAAAATATTTATGTAATGTTGAATGAAGTGATCTCAAGGCAGATAGGTAATATTCATGGATGGCTCTAAGACAATAGGGAATGTCCAGGAGCCCTCACAATGTATGCCCCAATTTTAAAAACTCTGCCAATCCTTAGCTTGCACTGCTGTTTTTCTTACAAAGAAAGATTTTCCCCTGTCACTAACAAAAGCAGGGCCACAAGTGTCAAGGAAAACGAGAGCCCACATAGACCCAGCACACTTAACTCATTTATGTTTCTTGCCTGGCCCCTACAGGCATCCGAATTTGAAACTTCTGAGAGACAGATGAGAGGAGGCCTGGTACCCACAATGACAAACTGCTCCACCATCATTCTCCCCCTCATCCTGCCCAGTAGTTTTCTGCACTACTGTCTAAATCTACATTGAGGAATAAGTAAAAAGAGGAATATAAACCCTGCCTTGGAGAGTCAATAGTTAACACACCATCACTCTACATAGGAGTAAGAACAGCAGTGTGGAATGGACTGGCATGTATGGTTAAGAAAGAACTGGTTTGGCCGGGCGCGGTGGCTCACGCCTGTAATCCCAACACTTTGGGAGGCAGAGGCGGGCGGATCACAAGGTCAGGAGATCGAGACCATCCTGGCTAACATGGTGAAACCCCGTCTCTACTAAAAATACAAAAAATTAGCCGGGCATGGTGGCGGGCGTCTGTAGTCCCAGCTACTCGGGAGGCTGATGAAGGAGAATGGCATGAACCCGGGGGATAGAGCTTTCAGTGAGCTGAGATCGCACCACTGCACTCCAGCCTGGGAGACAGAGCAAGACTCCGTCTCAAAAAAAAAAAGAAAGAAAGAACTGGTTCAAATCTCCTGCACACAGAGGAGTTGCTTAACCTCTGAAAGTCTCCAGTTTCTCTACAGGATATTTGAGAAATTTTTAAGATTGTGTATATCAGACTTCCAGCTTCCACTTAAGGTGTCCAAAGCTGGAAAGGGCATCATTCCCAAATGTAAAGCAATAAATATCCTAAGTAATCTGCAAATTTACCAATGCTATTAAACTCATCAGAGAGCTGAGGTCATAGGGTGACAGATTAATCCGAAACCTAGAGACAGTAAAGTGCCTCCAAGGAGTGACAGGACGCAAGCACTTGCTTACTGGAGCAGGTAGGAGACCCCTTGCGAATCAGTAAGAAGAATTCACCCAAAAATTGTCAAAAATGTCTAAAGTCTGAATGTGGCTTAGTTAACAGTATAGAACTTGTGGGGTCTTCAAACACAAGGGAAATTCACATCTACTCACAGCTTCTTCTCCATAGACCTTCTGGGTGCTCAGAATAAATACTGGGGCAAGATGAGAGCCCAGAGTGGTGGATCCAAATGGGGGGAAACTTTGCCTCCAAGGGGACCTTTGGCAATGTGTGGAGATATTTTTGATTGTCACAACTTGGGGGATCCAGTGGGTAGAGGCCAGTAATGTGGCTAAACATCCTACAATACATAGACGAGTCCACTACGACAAAGAATTGCCCAATCCATAATATCAACAGAGCTGCTATTGAGAAACCCTGGTCCATAGAAAGCTTCCCTAGTGATGCAGGTTTTGTGGAGAGGAAGAGAAGCCACTATAGAAAAGCACAAAGCCTTACCTGAATATTCCATCTGTACCTCTCCTAAGGAAAAGAAGCCTCATCTGTTGGAAAGGCAGTGAACCCTGTTGTACCAAGCCACAGGTTAAGACTCTTTGCAGCTGGGAGAAGAGAATACAAACATACCCTGTAACCCTGTGGTAGGAGCAAGAAAATTTCCTGGCCCGAATTATTAGAGGTCTCCTACTTAAGGCAGAGGGACAGGATCACTGAGATGGCCCCATCCCTGAGACCCAGAGACACAGCTCCAGCTTAATTCTGAGAAGAATATCCATGCAGCCTACCATCAGGCTAGCAAGCACTGAGTAGCCAATAATATCAATGCCCTGGTGGAAGAGGAGCAAAAACATAAAGAGCGACGCTGTCTAAAGGAAAGCTGCAAAGAAAGGACTTAAATATGGCCAGGCACGGTGGCTTACGCCTGTAATCCCAGAACTTTGGGAGGCCGAGGCAGGCAAATCACGAGATCAGGAGATCGAGACTATCCTGGCTAACACGGTGAAACCCCATCTCTACTAAAAATACAAAAATTAGCCGGACGTGGTGGCACATGCCTATAGTCCCAGCTACTTGGGAGGCTGAGACAGGAGAATTGCTTGAACCCAGGAGGTGGAGGTTGCGGTGAGCCGAAATAGCACTACTGCACTCCAGCCTGGGCAACAGAGCAAGGCTCCATCTCAAAAAAAAAAAGGGCTTAAACTTGAACCTTAAGCCAACACTGAAGAAACTTCTCCTATTAACAGCCACCACTCTAAGCATGAGTTAAGACTAGAGGAGTTCTCAGCCTGTGACACACTGATGATAGCCTTAACGACAACAACAACCACACCCAGCTCAAGTCCTGTCCTGGCTAGACAGACTGACCCCCACACATTGAAAGACTAACAAAATAAAAGGCATGCCATTTCTGGGTATAAAGAATGTTTATCTCAGTCTCTACTGTCCTACCCAAAATGACCAGCTTTCTGATAAAGTCAGGTGACATATAAAAAAGCAAAGGGAGAGTGGAGGAGAGGGGGCACTCTGTCAGATAGACAAAGCAATCAAGAGAAGCAGAATCAGATGTGACCCAGGTGTTGAAAATGTCAGATAATTAAAAATAAAGTGATTAAAGTGTTAAAGGCCCTAATATAAAAGGTGGACAACATACCTGACTAGATGTGGAATTTCAGCAGAGAGATGGAAACTATAAGAAAGAATTAAATGAAAATGTTACAAATAGTATGGTATTCAGAATGCTATCAACAACCTCATTAGTAGTCTCAACATGACTGAGGATAGAATCAGTTGAACTCAAACTATTACCAATAGAAATTACTCAAATTTAACCACAAAGATCTTTTTTAATGAGTTTAAAAAAAAGTTAATGCAGAGGATCTGAGAGTGATGGGACCAATTCAAATAATCGGACATACCTGTAATTTTGAAAGCAAAAGGAGAAGGGAGCACAGGGTAGAAAAACCACTGAAGGGATGGTGGCTAGGAATTCCCTCAAATTAGTGATGGACACCAAAACTCACATTCGAAGGAACTCAGAGAAGACCAACTAGCATAAAACACACCTGGATATATCATCTACAAACTACAAAAAACCAACAGCAAAGAAAAAATCTTGAAGGCAGACAAAGAGGCATATCACACACAGAGGAACACACATACGAATTACAGCAGACAATCAAAAACTATGTGAACCAGCAGGCAGCAAAGGAAACATCTTTACAGAAAAAAAAATCATAAATACAAAATTTTATACCCTGAAAAATATCTTTCAGAAATTATGATGTGGGGCCGGATGTCGTGGCTCACACCTGTAATCCCAACACTTTGGGAAGCAGAGGTGGGTGGATCACCAGAGGTCAGGAGTTTGCCACCAGCCTGGCCAACATGGCAAAACCCAGTTTCTACTAAAAATACACAAAAATTAGCCAGGTGTGGTGGCGTGCACCTGTAATCCCAGCTACTCCGGAGGCTGAGGCAGAAGAATCTCTTGAACCCGGGAGGTAGAGGTTGCAGTGAGCCAAGAATGCACCACTACACTCCAGCCTGGGCAACAAAGCAAGACTCCGTCTCCAAAAAAAAAAAAAAAAAAAACAGAAATGATGATGTGGGATATGAACATGGTGGAATGAAGATTGTCAAAAGTCAGCCTTCAAAAAACAATTATAAAATTGCAAGAAGAAAAGAGTCTAAAACAGTAATCTCAGTGCTCTGGAAAATGACCAGAGGTGAAAAACAAACAGAGAAAAACATTCATTAATGGAAAACTGCTCAAATTAAGGCATGAACTGGGGGAGTCCATGGCATTCTTGGTTGAGGTTGCTCCAGTCCCCCACTACCCTGACCTTATTCCGGCCAGACCAGTGTTGTAAAGTTGCCAGGGAAAGTCTGGCCAAAAAAACAACAATTTCACTGTTGGAGGGAGATGACTTCATTTGATGCTAGGGCAGAAAATCCACACCCAGTTGTATTGTAAGTGGAAGTAGCAAACTAATGGGAAGCAAATGAAAGCCCATGGCTCTACCACCCTGAATTGCAGTCCCGCTTGGGTGGAGCAGTGGAAAATTTGACTAGTCATTAATTTGGCAGGAAGAACCTAGAGATGAGAGGGCCAAAGAAGGGCTGGCTGATTGCTTCTCAGGTCTCTGGCTAACTGGGAGGCTGTGCACACGTGCAGGGAAGATTCAAGAGGGCCCAGCTGTCTACACATCCTGCATGGGCTTGGATGCTATGCAAGTCTACAGGAAAGACCCAGGAGGGCCTGGCAGAAAGTAAACTCTGTGAACGTCTGAAAACTGTCTGAATGTTGAATGGGCTCCCAAACCCTCCCACAGATCCATCAGCAGAAGACGGAAATCTTACGGTCAAGGTGTTTGAGGACAATCATTGGTTGACTACCAAACTATGCAGACACAGAGGAGCCACTAGAAAGCCAGCATAAACTTAACCTTTAAATTTTTCTTAAAATAAACAGAGACATCAGCAGCCACATATCATGGGGAAGACAGATTCAACAGATTAAGTTCCGGCAAGTTAAAACCAGAACAAAAGAAAACAAGCAAAACAATAACAACACACAAAAAGCAGGAATAACAGCACTCAGGGGAAAAAAATCAGAATTATATTTGCTACAATATATTATCTAAGATGTCTGGTTCTTGACAAAAATTTACAAGACAGAAAAAAAAGGAAAGTGTGACCTATATTCAGGGAACTAAACTGTCAATAAAAATTAACTCTGAGTGGATAAGGAAGTTGCGTTTAGCGGACAAAGACTTCAAAGCATTTATTATAACTATGTTCAAAGAATTAAAATAAGCCACATTTAAAGAATTAAAGAAAAATATCTGACAGAATTAAAATAAAATATGATAAAGAAAAAATATAATTTTCAAAATAAGAAATTTCAAAAAAAATCAACACTCATACACAAAAATTAACCCCAAATGGGTCATAGTCCTAAATGTAAAAGCTAAAACTATTAAAATTCTAGGTGAAAGTTTCTGTGACTTTGGCAGTCTTATTCACAATTAATTATAAGAACAAAGGTACAAACCCTAAAAGAAAAAAATGGAAAAAAGCAACCTTCAAAATTAAAAACATATTATTACAAGTTTAGCTGCTCAAAACACCCAATTTATTGCTTCACAATGCTATAGTTCAAAAGTCTGCCAGGGCATGGCTGGTTTGTGCTCAAACTGAAATCAAAATGTCAGCTGGCTACACTGTTATCTGAAGCACGGGGCCATTCATGTTATTCATGTTATTGACAGGATTTAGTTGTTTTCACCTTTAGGGCTGAAAGCCTCCCTTCCTTGCTGACTGTCAGTGAGGAGCCACATTTAGCTTCTAGAGGTAGCCACATTCTACATCCTGTGACCCATTCCATCTTCAAGCCAGCAATGGTGTGTACATCAAAACCTTCTTATGCTTTGAATCTCTCTGGCTTCTCTTTCTAACACCATCCAGAGAAAACTTTCTGGTTTGAAAGGGCTTCTGTGACAAAATTTATCCTACCTATATAATCTCTGTATCTTAAGCTCGACTGATTAATACTTTAATTACTGCAAAATCCCTTCACATCAGTACCTAGATTAGTTATTGGATATCCAGAGGACAGGAAACGGGGAGACACGTTTAAAATTATGCTTACATAAGTGTAGCATGGGAAGGAAAAAAAAGAAAAAAAAAAAGGCTTACCAAAACATCATTAAGAAGGGAAAAGACAAGCCACAGACTGGGAGAAACTACTTTTGAATTTATATACCTAATAGACAACTTATATTCAGAATATATAAACACCACTTACGATTCAATAATAAGATGGCAAGCAACCCAGTTACAGGATGGGCAAAAGATATGAATAAACATTTGCTAAGAAGATATATGAATAGCTAATGAGCACATGAAAAGATGCTGAACATCATTAGTCAATGCCACTCCTAGGCATTTCCCCAAATGAAATATAAACATATTTCATATACAAAAATCCATACATGAATATTTTTAGTGGCTTTATTTTAATTTCTAAAAACTAGAAACAACACTGATTAATGTCCCCCAGCTGGTGAATGGATAAACCATGGTAAAACATGCAATAGAATACTATTCAGTAATAAAAGACATAAATCTTAAAGGTGAAGGAATACAGATTCAAAGCCTACAAAATGTTTAATTCCATATATGCCTTGCTGGAAAAGGCAAAACATAGAGCCAGAAAATATATCAGTGGTTACAAGTGCTAGGGCAAAGGGATAAGTTGGCTACAAAGGAATGAAAGGGAATCCAGCATGAATGAGGAGGAAAGTAATCGAATTCTTTCATATTTTGATCATAGTTGTAGTTACCTGAATGTATGCACTTGTCAAAATTCACAAAATTGTATACTAGAAAGGATGAATTTGACTGTATGCTAGTTACAGCTTCATCTTAAGAAAGAGAAACCTAATGTATATAAATTGCTCAGGAAAGAGTAGACTAAACTTTTTTCTAATTTTCATCAAAGAAATAAATGTTTATGACAAGAAATAAAATACAACAAAATGGTTAATCTAAATCTGCCCCCACCCTGTTTTTTACCCACCCCAATTCATAACTCATAGAGGTGAATAGTTTTCATCTATTATGATTTTTGTTTGATGTGACGGTTAATTCTATTACTGTAATTAATATAATTAATGCAGTGGTGTGTATCTTATCATTGATATCATGTATATATTATATTGAAATAATAAAGAGTAATAAAATATTTAAATTGTAATTTCTTATGTTTTTTATGTTATTATATTTCTTATGTTGTTTTCTTAATCTTGTCATAGATTAGGGGTTGAATGGTGTTACCCAAAAAAAAGTCAACATTCTAACCCCTAGTACATGTGAACGTGACCTTATTTGCATATAGGGTGATCTGGCTTCTCTTTCTATCACCATCCAGAGAAAACTTTCTGGTTTGAAAGGGCTTGTATGACAAAATTTATCCTACCTACATAATCTCTGTATCTCAAGATTCACTGATTGATACTTTAATTACTGCAAAATCCCTTCACATCAGTACTAGAGTTCAGTTCAGTATGAGTTCAGATGAACTCATACTGCAGATGAGTTCGGATGAAATCATTAAGGTGACCCATAGTCAAATGCAACTGTTTCCTTATAAAAAGTGGAAATTTGGTGACAGAGACAGAACTGCACACAGGAAGAAAACCATGTGAATATGAAGAAAGAGATGGGGGTGATGCCTCCACAAGCCACGGAATGCCAAAGACTGCCAGCAGTCACCAGAAACTATGGGGAGGCATGGAACAGATAGTTGCTCACAAGCGTCAGAAAGAACTGACCCTGCTGACACCTTGATTTTAGACTTCCAGCCTCCAGAACAGAGAGAGAATAAATCTCTGTTGTTTAAGCTGCCCAGTTTGAGCTACTTTGTTATGACAGTCCTAGCAAAGTATATTAATTTGGTATATTACCATGAATGATTAAAATGTATTTTATTTATACTATTCTTTTTTTCTCTTCTCTCCACATCACTTCCAATTATGTAAGTTACTGGGTATCAAGATTTCATATCTTCTAATAGTTGCATTAAATAATATCCAACCTTTATTTGTTATGTCATAGCCTCTACAGAGAATCGCCTCACTTCTTTCAAAGCATGAGCATTTTAAGGCCCACACCCTTTCTACCCATTCCTTCCCAACATCTCTCTCCAAATCTCTCTCAACTATACCATTACTTTGAATTTTCAGGTTGAATATATACATTCTGTCATAACCATAATAATTATAACAACATTTTGTGCTTTTGTTAATTTAAATTTGACTTTTATATTTTGAGGTCAAATGTCACATTTTATTAATTATATAGGGTATAATTGAACACTTCTGCAATAGTCAAAGTAATAAAAAATGCACTAGTAATTCTGGATGCCTTTACAAAAACTTACACATGGAATATGGCATGTAGATCCTGATGGAGTTAGAAGTCTATAAAAGAGAGCTAAAATGTACATTCCTTGATGGTACTAAATAAGGTTGACCCTAGAAAAATCATCAAATAGTAAATAAAAATTCATTATATAGGCATACTTTGTCTTCATAAAGCCTCACTTTCTCCAAATTCTATTTCATATTTTCCCAAAATACTAAACTTTTTTTTTTTTTTTTTTTGAGGAGTCTTGCTCTGTCGCCCAGTGGTGCGATCTCGGCTCACTGCAGCCTCCGCCTCCCCGGTTCAAGCGATTCTCCTGCCTCAGCCTCCTGAGTAACTGGGACTACAGGCACATGCCACCACACCCAGCTAATTTTGTTTTTATTTTATTTTATTTTATTTTTAGTAGAGATGGGGTTTCACCATGTTGGCCAGGATGGTCTCATTCTCTTGACCTTGTGATCCACCTGCCTCGGCTTCCCAAAGTGCTGGGATTACAGGCATGAGCAACGGTGCCTGGCCCCAAAATACTATACTTTTATTTTCCAAGTTAAGAGAAAATCAAGAAATCAATTCATGCTAATATGTAAATGATTCTTAATGGTCCTTCCAAGGCAACATTTATAATTTTTTTTAAACTTTTAAGTTCAGGGGTACATGTGCAGGTTTGTTACATAGGTAAACTTGTGTCATGAGGGTTTGTGTACAGATTATTTCATCACCCAGGAATTTAGCCTAGTATCCATTCTTTTTTTTCCTGATCCTCTCCTTCCTCCAACACTCCACCTTCCAATAGGCCCCAGTGAGTGTTGTTCCCCTCGATGTGTCCATGTGTTCTCATCATTTAGCTCCCACAATAGCCATTATTATTATTATTATTAGCTCCCATAGTAACCATTCTGATTGGTGTGAGATGCTACCTCATTGTGATTTGATTTGCATTTCTCTAATGATCAGTGGTGTCGAGCTTATTTTTCATATGATTGTTGGCCACATGTATGTCTTTGAAAAGTGTCTATTCATGTCCTTTTTCCACTTTTTTATGGGATCGTTTGTTTTTTCTTGTAAATGTAAACTTCTTATAGATGCTGGATATTAGACCTTTGTCAGACACAGACTTTGAAAACATTTTCTCCCATTCTATAGGTTGTCTGTTCACTCTTTTGATAGTTTCTTTATTTTCATTATGCAGAAGCTCTTCCATCCCATTTGTCAATTTTTGCTTTTGTTGCAATTGCTTTTGGCATCTTCGTCATTAAATCTTTACCCGTGCCTATGTCTTGAGTGGTCTTGCTTAGGTGGTCTTCCAGTGTTTTTACAGTTTGGGGTTTTACATTTACATCTTTAAACCATCTTGAGTTCATTTTTGTACATAGTGTAAAGAAGAGGTCCAGTTTCAGTCTTCTGCAAATGGCTAGCCAGTTATCCCAGCAACATTTGTTAAATAGTGAATCCTTTCCCCATTGCTTGTTTTTGTCAGGTTTGTCGAAGATCAGATAGCTGAAGGTTGGCGGTTGTATTTCTGGGTTCTCTATTCTGTTCCATTGGGCTATGTGTCTGTTTTTGTCACAGTTTCATGCTGTTTTGGCTACTGTAGGCCCGTGGTATAGTTTGAAGTCGGGTAGCATGATGCCTCCAGTTTTGCTCTTTTTGCTTAGGACTGCCTTGGCTATTTGGGATCCTTTTTGGTTCCATACTCATTTTAAAATAGTTTTTTTCTAGTTCTGTGAAGAATGTCAGTGGTAGTTTAATAGGCATAGCATTGAATCTATAAATTGCTTTGGGCAGTACGGCCGTTTTAACGATATTGATTCTTCCTATTCATGAGCATGGGATGTTTTTCCATTTGTTTGTGTCATCTCTGATTTCTATCAGCAGTATTTTGTAGTTCTCCTTGTAGAGATCTTTCACCTCCCTGGTTAGCTGTATTCCTTGGTATTTTATTCTTTTTGAGGCAATTGTGAATGGGCGTTCATTCCTGATTTGTCTCTCAGCTTGACTGTTGTTGGTGTATAGGTATGCTAGTGACTTTTGCACATCAATTTTGTATCCTGAGACTTTGTTGAAGTTATATATAAGCTTAAGGAGTTTTTGGCAGAGATGATGGGGTTTTCTAGATATAAGATTATGTTGTCAGCAAACAGGGATAGTTTAACTTCCTCTCTTCCTATTTGGGTGACCTTTATTTCTTTCTCTTGCCTGATTCCTCTGGCCAGAACTTCTAATATTATGTTGAATAGGAAAATGTTAATTTTATATTCAGGGGATACATGTGCAGGTTTATTACAAGGGTATATTTCATGATGCTGAGGTTTTGGCTTCTATTGTTCCCGTCACCGAGGAAGTGAGCATAGTACCTAACAGAATGGTTTTCAACCCTCGCACCCCCCACTTCCTCTGTCCTTTTGGAGTCCCTGGTGCCTATTGTTCCCATCTTTATGTATGTGTGTGCCCAAGGTTTAGCATACTTATCAGTGAAAACATGCGATATTTCGTTTTCTGTTTCCGCATCAATTTACTCAGGTTAATGGCCTTCAGCTGCATCCATATTGCTGCGAATGACATGATTTCATTCTTTTTATGGCTGTATAGTATTCCATGGTGTAAATGTACCACAGTTTCTTTATCCAATCCACCACTGATGGGCACTTAGCTTGATTCTGTCTTTGCTATTGTGAATAGTGCTTCAATAAACATGAGTGAAGGTGTCATATTTTTGTGCTTTGTCTGCAATTTATTCTAAAAACCAAAACCTGATAGCAGCCTTCTCACTATGACTATATTAATACTGCTTACTGTAAGATCATGCAGTTGCTAAGTTCAGTGTCATGGCTCCTGTACTACTCAAAGGAGAATAGACCCAGCATCAAGGTTAAGTGGCCCCTTTCATCTATAGTTTGTTTGCCTCCCTTCCCGGTCCATTTTCTTTCTTCACTCTTTCTGTGAAAATTCAATTCATCAAATGTTTCATTCCTTGGGTTAAATCTCTGCATCATTTAACAACATTTCCCACACTTTCTGAATCTTTGACGTCTTTTCCCTACTTTCTGGGACATTTTCTTAACTTTGTCTTCCAACTTCTTTTTTTTTTTTTTTTTTTGAGACAGAACATTGCTCTGCTGCCCGGGCTGGAGTGCAGTGTGCCATCTTAGCTCACTGCAACCTCAGCCACCTGGGCTCAAGCAATTCTCATGCTTCAGCCTCCCAAATAGCTGGGATTACAGGAGTGCACCACGCCCAGCTAATTTTTGTATTTTTAGTAGAGACGGGGTTTCACCATGTTGGCCAAGATGGTCTCGAACTCCTGGCCACAAGGGGTCCACCCACCTCGGCCTCCCAAAGTGTTGGGATTACAGGTGTGAGCCAACCAGGCCCAGCTTCAAATTCCTTATTGACTCTTTCTTATAATTGTGATTATACTTTTACTTTCAAAGAGTTCATTTCTGTTATCTGATGCTTCCTTTTTTGGCACCATATTATTGTTTTATGGATGTAAGACTTTCATTTTTCAGAGAGTTTTTACTTTGGTTTGTTTTGTTTTAATTTCTCCAATCTCTCAATCACCTCCTTCTCCCCAGGATAAGTTTCTCAGTTTGCTTACCATTGTCCTTCTATTTCATGTTGCCGTTTTTCCTCACATCGTTGATGGTCCTTGCTTATAGGCTGATGGTTGATGGACCTTGGTTGACCATTCATAGCTAAGTATGAGAGAATTGAAAGACTAACAAATGCTTGTGTACACGAGTACTCTTCTGTTTAGGGTAGGAGGGCATCATTTTAGGGTAGGAAGATGAGGAGGAGGACATTAAACTGTCCTCTCCCACTTGAGAATGAAGAACCAGTGTCCATTATATTTGCCTAAACGTTTCCAGACATTTGCTTCAAAATGTTTTAGAGAAGAATATTCTGAGTTTTTTCTTATAGGGAAATTCCTGTCTGTCACATGATATGATAATACAATAATATATAATATATGGCTTTAATTACTTTTCTTGTTTGCATATCCCCAAAAACAACTTTGAAATTTTAGATAACTTCTGGTTGACATACAAAATTTTCTATCATAAGTTTGCTAAAAATGTGATTTCTAGCATGCTATAAATACTAAAATTTTAAAATATTCCTGTTACATAACTTTTGTCACTCATATAAATGTATCCAGTGGAATATAAATACAATAGTATTTTATACCTTCTATTATCCATTTTCAAAATACATGAACTCGCTATTTTTATTGTTGATAGTTTCATAATACTTCTTTTTTGACTTGGGTTTCCATTTTACTTCCCTTACAGAATTTTATTGCTTTATTTTAAGGTATTATATATTTGTGCTTGAATAAATACGTATTTTGTTGAACACCTTTTATTACATCTGCAACAAAAATATTTATATAAATTAAAATAACTTTTTCTGTATTCTATATGCCTATAATACACTATTAACTTTTTTCCTTCTCAATTCAATTATAATTAGTTCACAAATTAGAAAAAATATAACTGCAGTATACCACAAATATTGATAAATAATTGTCAAACACATAAAGTGTTATTATTTTTAAAAGTGCCTCTAAATTAAAGAAATTGGAAAGGGTCACTGTGTTCAGTTCTGCAGGTTGTACACTGCACTACTCAGGGGAGCACCATTCAAACCAAACTGTGTGGGTTGAGTGTCCCCTTTGAAGCAGTGCACCTGTGCACATATGTGCAGCAGCCCTGGGTGGTACTTTTTTTTATAACATCAGTTCATTTGTCTATGGAGAAATATTACTGACCCATATTTCTGCATCAACTCTGTTGCTATTTTTCTATGGGAATGGAAGGAGTTTCATCATGATTTCATCATCATAGTGTCATCAAACATTATTTATAATGCTCTATGAGTTGGCCTCTCAGAGTTGTTGCTATCGCTCTTGTTGATGTTTGGCACCAGGGCAGTTCACTAGAATAACAAGAGAGATATGGAAGAGGTACGCCTGCATTTTGAGCAGTGATTGTAAGAGGAGAGGTGGGAAAGAACAACCAGTGTTTTCTAAGACTGATTAGCTTTAGAAAAAGAGGACACATGGAAGATGAAAATCTTGAAATTAATTACTTTAAAATTATCTATGTTTGAAGATCTCTGTACCACTTTGTATGTAGGAGCACATGTTGTATGTATGTGGTATGGTGGGGGGTTTGGGGAGAACTCTGGTTTTGTTCTCAACTTTCAATTAAACCCTCTATTTGCGGCTGCACTTTGTTCTACTGCCCAGCTCTCTGGGGTTCTCCTGAGAACCCTGGCTCCCTCTTTCCCAGAAAACTTCTCTAGGCTATCACTTTTCTTATTCTGCTTTATCAGCCAATGGTGGCTCAACTCTTTTTCCTTTTCCAGAAACGTACCGTCCTCTCTTACCTGCAGTACCTTCCCTCCCATTCTGCATGCTTTCACTAATGCTTTACTAGTGTTTTAATGAAAGCTCAAGAGAGATGAGAAAAATAGATATTGTGAACCAAAAACTCATAGAAAGATCTCAATAAATAGTTATCATATTTACCAGCTAATCTAAATGGAGCATTAAACTATGCTTTACTCAGAGCAGCAAAGGTCCTCTTCGGGCCATTCAGGGCAGCCCAGACACTTCTTCCACTACTCAGCCTGATCATGGCACCGCTAAAATGAGCTTTGGCTAACAGAGACTATAAGCATTATATTAATGAGCCAGACTGTGATTGAAGTGTAGGCTTAAGGTCAGTGAATAGAAGCCTATACCTGCCTTACCCAAGCAAGAATTTAACTTGGAATTTCCCTAGAATCAGATAGAAGAAAAATCCCAAACTGCATTTATGAGGTCACACCAATAGGGGAAAACAGATCACTTTTAGCAAGCACATGGCTTTCAAAAACACACCTGTTTCTTTGTTATTGATAGTGTAATTAATTGATCTCTAGAATCTGATTGAAAACACTGGGCTATAAATCATGCCATATGAACAGTCCTGGATGCATCACTGCTAGTAATTCAAAGCATATTTCATCTGCCCGTGGCACGCATTTCAGGATTAGTGTCACATCTGGATTAACGAGAAACAGCAGGGGCTATTTGTTTATATGGTCACATTTCTACCTTTCATTTTACTTCATATTCAACCTGACACTGGCTATACATATCAATACACACGTCAAAGTGGGTTTATATCTCTTTGTCAGGTATCTAGGAACAAAACATTGGTTGACTCATAAGTGATGGGAAATTAACGTCATGAAATGACACTTTTGCTACCAAAAGAAAAAAACATTATTCATTGTGCCCACTACCTGAACTTGTCACCTAAGTAGAAATGTTCTTCATCATCAAGTTAATTGCAAGGATAGTCTATATTTATTCCCGAGGCCCACATTTACTTGTCTTTCAGTCATTCAATACATATTTATTGAGCACCTACTATATATATGAAAGACACAATTTTAAGTGCAGTGGGTGACACTGGTCCCTGTCCCTAAGGAAATTACAGCCCAGGGGGAAAATGACTAGTATATAAATAACCACAATATCAAATAGATACTGCAGCAATGAGATAAAAGTGACACAGCCAGTCACAAAGAGCCTTAAAGTTCTCAAAAAAAATTAGAGTGAGGTAGAAAAAAAAAATCATACTCCCTGGAAGTGTATATGTTAATATTGCGGTAATTGCTTAGAGACCAGGGCTTTCCTTATATTATTTCATTGAATCCTCACCATAACACATGAGGAAGCTATAGTATCTCTGTTTTAGAGATGAGGAAATTGAAGCAGCAAGAGGTTAGCTAACACGCCCAAGGCCACATAGTAAGCCATGCATCCAGGTTTCCAAGGCAGGTAAGTTTGATACCTAGACTGCGCCCTTAGCTTAGTTGTTCTGTTAGGCCATCCTTGCATCACTCTAAAGAAATACCTGAGACTGGGTACTTTATAAAGAAAAGAGGTTTAATTGGCTCACGATTCTGCAGATTGTACAAGCATAGCACCAGCATCTGCTCGGCTTCTGGGGAGGCCTTTACTCATGGCAGAAGCCAAAGCAGAAACGCGCGCATCACATGGTGAGAGCAGGAGCAAGACAGAGAGAGGTGGGGGAGGTGCTGCACACTTTTAAACAACCAGATCTCATGGGAAATTACCATCACCAGGACAGCACCAAGCCCTGTGATAAATCCAACCCCCAAGACCAAACACCTCCCGCCAGGTCCAACCTCCAAACTGGGGATTACATTACAACATGAGATTTGGGTCGGATAAATATCCAAACTCTATCACTCTTCTATTACTTCTGGGACAGCAAATGAAAAGTTTACTGTTACTGAAAAATGTGTTTTTATCCTTCTGTATAACTGAGGGAGATTTAAAGCCTCTAAAGTGAATTTTGACTAATATGCACATTTCTACGTCCTCCAATAAAAGTTCTGAACTGGCTCAAAGCATTCATATACATAAACTAAAACTAGCTGCTGAAAATTCCATCAGATGTAAAGAATATATGGAAATGACCCCCATTTTCCTGGCTCACGTGACTTCATATTCCAGCTGTCAGTTAGGAAACCAGGAGAGGCAATTCACAGCTGCTTGAATTCTATCTTTTTCTAGTTCCCAGCAAACCGTAAAATATTCAGTCTGACCAAACTATTTCTTTGGTTACTACTTTTGTCATTCCCAAAATTAAAACTTCAAACATACCACTCACACATACACAGAGATTTTCACACATATGGGCTTTTTGTAGCTTGCTGTTAGAAAAAATGTTCATGAAAAAGATAATTCACTTTTTCTACCCTCTGAATATTATCTAAAGGGAGTTCTGATCTGGAGCTCACCTTACTTTTTGTCTTGTGCTGTATATTCTTATTTCAATGGGTAAAACCAAGATCTTAGAATTGCCTTTATATTTTAAATACCCCTTTTTGAATCTATGAAGATTATCAAACTAACATAACCTTGCAAACAGGGGTTATTGTTCTAGATCCATTTTCTATTGTTTTATGTCTCCTGGGTCACTGAGATCCTGACAGTGTGTATTCTAAACCAGTGTTTCTCAAGGCTTAGTGTGCAGCCAGGTCACATAGAGGGCATCTGGGTCCACCCCACTGAATCTCCATCAGTAACAAGATTGCAGGTGATGCTGATGCTGCTGGTGCAAGGACGAGCCTGTGAGAACCACTGTTTTAAACCAACCTGAATAAGAAAGAGCACTGGACTAAGAGTCAAGAAACCTAGACTCTGATTCTAGATCTGCCACTGTCTGGCTGTGTGGCCTCAGACAAGTCACTTAACCTCTCTGAGACTCCATTCCCTCATTAAATGGCATGCTTTAACTAAGTAATTAATAAAAATCCCATATCATTTCATAATTTTATAACTGAGCCAAGATAGAGTATACTCTACTATGCCCACCAAACAATTTGAGGGGTCCGAGCTTAACAGTTAACATAGTCACTGTGTTTGAGAAAATACATATGTTTTCCTCCCATACTGTTAAGTTCTGCTGTTATACACCATACATATGTTTCTAAAAATCATCCCGCTATGCAAAATTGTGCAATAAAAATGGAGCTGGGGAACAACACTCAAAAACTTCAACAGTGTCTCTAGGAAAAAAGAAATTAGAAACGTAATAAAGACAATATCACACTTTCATACCTGTTAAATGGTTAAGAAATGCATAAAGAGGCCAGGCGCAGTGGCTCACACCTGTAATCCTAGCACTTTGGGAGGCCGAGGTGGGCGGATAATGAGATCAGGAGTTCCAGACTAGCCTGGCCAACATAGTGAAACCCTGTCTCTACTAAAAATACCAAAAAAATTAGCCAGGCGTGGTGGCAGGCGTGTCTAATCCCAGCTACTCGGAAAGCTGAGGCAAGGAGAATCACTATCACTTGAACCTGGGAGGCAGGGGTTACAGTGACCGAGATCACGCCACTGCACTCCAGCTCGGACGACAGTGCGAGACTCCATCTCAAAAAAAAAAAAGAAATGCATAAAGACTGCGGTCCGTGTAGCATTTAACTTGAAAAAGACTGGAGGTTTGTCATGGAAGTGGGCTGGGAAGGGTGACAACTGGTGAGTTTTTGTGAAGTGGTACAAGGAAAGTAATCTGGAATCTGACAGAAAGCCATCACAGCAGATGTGAATAGGTGTGGCTCATTGTCCTCACTTCCAGCATTAGCATAGACACCACAGTTAAGTCATCTCTCGGAGTCTTTAATCATGGAGGAAGTTTTCCTGTCTTTGCAAGGTAGGTCCTTCAAGGCATGTATGTATAATATAATAGATGCTGTATCATTAAAATTGAAATTCTGATCCAATGTGCTGCCTTCTTCTTCCTTACCTTCTCTATCACTCCTGGAAATTCTTTGATGGCTTTCTGATCTACATTTATGATTTTCCCAACAGCAGAAGACTTTGGAAATTGTAGTGATATTTAAAAATGCTACATCAACCACTGCTGGCACATAAAGGACCCATAATAAACCACTTCCGCAGGATTTGGTAATTTTCATTTAAGCTCTTTGAATCTAGACTGCATTTTCCTTTTGCAGGAATTGCTTGGCAACTTGAACCAAAACACTTACATTTGTCTGGAATATTGAAAGAGATTTTTTTCCTTTTAGTACACAGAAGGTCACAAATGTGAAGGAGTAGGAAAAGATAACCTTTGTGGATAGAGCTAGCTGGCAGGTGTTTGAAATGTGTGTAGTTTGGGCATTTGTGTATCTCTACATGGTTTGGTGTGCAGAATAATTGTGGATAAGCAAATTCAAAATTCATGTTTGACTCAAATGATTCTCTAATTTATCATGCACATTGAAACAAATTCACATTTTCAAAGCAAGTGTTAAAGTGAACTGACCGTACTTTTGATGACAAATATTAAAACTTTGATATTAGAATCACTATATGTCATGGGTAGAATATTGGAAATCTACCAAAATCTCTCATATGTGGGACTGAACACATTTAGGAAATGACTTCTACGAGATGGGAAACAATCCAAGAGAGTTATAATTTTAATATAACTAGTCACACCTTAGACACAAATGAAAGACCTGGGAGTGGAAGATCCTGACTCAGGAGCTCACTGAGGAAGGTCCTGACTCAAGTATTCACGATGTCTATTAAAATGCTATCTGAGTGGGCAGAGGATATAAACAGACACTTCTCAAAAGAAGACACTTATGCTGCCAACAGACACATGAAAAAATGCTCACCATCACTGGCCATCAGAGAAATGCAAATCAAAACCACAGTGAGATACCATCCCACACCAGTTAGAATGGCGATCATTAAAAAGTCAGGAAACAACAGGTGCTGGAGAGGACGTGGAGAAATAGGAAAACTTTTACACTGTTGGTGGGACTGTAAACTAGTTCAACCATTGTGGAAGACAGTGTGGCGATTCCTCAAGGATCTAGAACTAGAAATAACATTTGACCCAGCCATCCCATTACTGGGTATATACCCAGAGGATTATAAATCATGCTGCTATAAAGACAAATGCACACATATGTTTATTGTGGCACTATTCACAATAGCACTTGGAACCAACCCAAATGTCCAACAATGATAGACTGGGTTAAGAAAATGTGGCACGTATACACCACGGAATAGTATGGAGCCATAAAAAAGGATGAGTTCACGTCCTTTTAGGGACATGGATGAAGCTGGAAACCATCATTCTGAGCAAACTATCGCAAGGACAGAAAACCAAACACCGCATTTCTCACTCACAGGTGGGAATTGAACAATGAGAACACTTGGACACAGGGTGGGGAACACCACACACTGGGGCCTGTCGTGGGGTGGGGCGAGGGGGGAGGGATAGCATTAGGAGATATACCTAATGTAAACGACGAGTTAATGGGTGCAGCACACCAACATGGCACATGTATACTTATGTAACAAACCTGCACATTGGGCACATGTACCCTAGAACTTAAAGTATAATTAAAAATAATAATAATAATAAATAAAAATAAATTAATAAAAAAAGAATTTGGGAGGTTTCTAGTTTGAGAATATTACCAATAATTCTGAAATTTTTGTATGTCTTTTGGCCAAAATATATTGAGAATATACCTAGGAGCAGAATTGCTAAGTCATAGAATGTATATGTGTTCCAATACAGTAGGTACTGCCAAACAGTTTTCCAAAGGGGTTGTACCAGTTTGTATCCCCACCAAAAACATACAAAAATGTTGATTGTTCCATACTTTGTCATATCACATTAGATAACGTTTTAAAGTTTAGCTATCCTAATGGATGTGTAGTCATATTTCCTTATGGTATTGATTTGCATTTTTACAAATATATGATGAAATTGAGTACATTTTCATATGCTTATGATCCATTTCAATATCTTCTTTCATGAAGTGTTTCATATTTCATCTGTTTTACTAAATGTGTGGTCTTTCTTTTTCGTATACATCTGTATGTATTCTTAACATATACATTATAAACACATATTGTAAAACCTTAAAAAAAGGCTACCTGAGATAGTTTCTGAGGATGCTCAATGACATAGAGGCATTTCCACAAAATCTGAAGTTTTCAAAAAAATCTGCCCTTTTTCTTCTCTTCAGTTACCTGTCAGAGAATATGGTGTTGATCTCTTTCCAAAATTTCATAAATTGAAACCAGTTTCCCTTTGATTACCCTTGTGTAAGACCTTTATGGGAATTGTTTTCCCACACTTATTATGAACATTTTAATAGAATGTGAAAAAATGGAAGATTTTTCAGAAAACAGCCATAGGAAGTATTAAAGATGTGAAAATATTTCCTAAAAGCATAGGAAGCATCTGCAGGGGTGATTCAGGCTCTCAGCAGAAAAGACAAAGGAACATTTTAATACGCCTAGGATTATTCCAGAGTCCTCTCTTGATCTTATGCCCCACATTCTGTACATCAGGAAATCCTGTTGGCTCCACCTTCAAAATCCATCTACAATCCCATAACCTCTTACCACCCCCATTGTTAGTACCCTGGTCCAACCCACTACCAACATCTCCCTAGAATAAGAAACTCCTAACTAGTCTTCTTGCTTCTCTTTTGACCCCTTGCCCCGGGCTACTCTCAAACTATAGTCCTACTTGTTCTTTGAAGCTATGCCATTGTTCCACATTTTGTTCAGGATAAGACAACTCATCTCCCATAACTCTTGTCTCTCTCATTACACTCCAGTCACACTGTCCTCATTGATGTTCCTGGAACATGCCAAGCATGTCCCACCTCCTACCTTGAAGATTTTGCTAAAATGTCACTACCTCAAGGAAACCTACCCTGACCAATATTTTTAAAAATTGAAAGGACTCTTCAACACACACACACACACACTCACACACTATTAATTCCCTGTATATTGCTCTTCCCCCCAATCCCCCGCAATATTTATCTCTTTGCACCAGGCCAGATAATTTACTTTTTACCATGATTATTGCATTTTCATGTCTTCCTCTCATTCTTGTGTAAGCGCCCTGAAGGCAGGGGTCTTTGCTCTCTCACTGATATATTAAGTATTAAAAACAGTACCTGGCTTATAACATGTGCTTCATAAATACTGAATGAATAAACCACTTTCAAGTTCACAGACGTTAATATGAGGATGAAGTCAATTTCTTCGACTACAGAAGTCAACTTCTTTCACTGTCCTCCAGTAGAGAGAAAAACCAGGAGACACAGAGACAGACAGAGAGAGAGAGAGAGACAAATAAAAAGACAATAATAAAATAAGAAAAAGGTTTTTTGACAGTAAGAGAAAGCAAAACTATTAAAATTAGCTGTCAACAACTATCAAAATAAGCTACCTGAAGGAAGTACCTTCTGATTATTCAGGTGGTTTTTAAGAGATAATATGGTTTCACTGGTTAAGGACCAGTTGAAACAAAAACCAGAAAATACTGGGTAAAATTCAGACCTCTAATATTCAATGAATATTAGACATTGGCCACATGTCTCCAGAGAGATCTCTGCTACTCACCTTCCCTTCTCCTCTAAAATGATGTCACTGACTCAGTGGATCACAACTTTACAATTTATTTTCATTGATTCTGTCTCAGAGGGACTTAACAATCTATATGGCATTGCATTTTCAGCTATAGAATCCTTGATGATAGCCTGTCTCAATAAATTAAATGGAGAGTTCAAATGCATTGATTATTCTTTTTTTTTTTTTGAGATGGAGTCTTGCTCTGTCACCCAGGCTTGAGTGCAGTGGTGCAATCTGGGCTCACTGCAACCTCAGCCTCCGGGGTTCAAGCAATTCTCCTGCCTCAGCCTCCCGAGTAGCTGGGACTACAGGCGCCTGCCACCACACTTGGCTAGTTTTTGTATTTTTTTTTTTATTATACTTTAAGTTTTAGGGTACATGTGCACATTGTGCAGGTTAGTTATATATGTATACATGTGCCATGCTGGTGCGCTGCACCCACTAACTCGTCATCTAGCATTAGGTATATCTCCCAATGCTATCTGTCCCCCCTCCCCCCACCCCACCACAGTCCCCAGAGTGTGATATTCCCCTTCCTGTTTCCATGTGATCTCATTGTTCAATTCCCACCTATGAGTGAGAATATGCGGTGTTTGGTTTTTTGTTCTTGTGATAGTTTACTGAGAATGATGATTTCCAATTTCATCCATGTCCCTACAAAGGACATGAACTCATCATTTTTTATGGCTGCATAGTATTCCATGGTGTATATGTGCCACATTTTCTTAATCCAGTCTATCGTTGTTGGACATTTGGGTTGGTTCCAAGTCTTTGCTATTGTGAATAGTGCCACAATAAACATACGTGTGCATGTGTCTTTATAGCAGCATGATTTATAGTCATTTGGGTATATACCCAGTAATGGGATGGCTGGGTCAAATGGTATTTCTAGTTCTAGATCCCTGAGGAATCGCCACACTGACTTCCACAATGGTTGAACTAGTTTACAGTCCCACCAACAGTGTAAAAGTGTTCCTATTTCTCCACATCCTCTCCAGCACCTGTTGTCTCCTGACTTTTTAATGATTGCCATTCTAACTGGTGTGAGATGGTATCTCATAGTGGTTTTGATTTGCATTTCTCTGATGGCTAGTGATGATGAGCATTTTTTCATGTGTTTTTTGGCTGCATAAATGTCTTCTTTTGAGAAGTGTCTGTTCATGTCCTTCGCCCACTTTTTGATGGGGTTGTTTTTTTCTTGTAAATTTGTTTGAGTTCATTGTAGATTCTGGATATTAGCCCTTTGTCAGATGAGTAGGTTGCGAAAATTTTCTCCCATTTTGTAGGTTGCCTGTTCACTCTGATGGTAGTTTCTTTTGCTGTGCAGAAGCTCTTTAGTTCAATTAGATCCCATTTGCCAATTTTGTCTTTTGTTGCCATTGCTTCTGGTGTTTTAGACATGAAATCCTTGCCCACGCCTATGTCCTGAATGGTAATGCCTAGGTTTTCTTCTAGGGTTTTTATGGTTTTAGGTCTAACGTTTAAATCTTTAATCCATCTTGAATTGATTTTTGTATAAGGTGTAAGGAAGGGATCCAGTTCCAGCTGTCTACATATGGCTAGCCAGTTTTCCAAGCACCATTTATTAAATAGGGAATCCTTTCCCCATTGCTTGTTTTTCTCAGGTTTGTCAAAGATCAGATAGTTGTAGGTATGTGGCGTTATTTCTGAGGGCTCTGCTCTGTTCCATTGATCTATATCTCTGTTTTGGTACCAGTACCATGCTGTTTTCGTTACTGGAGCCTTGTAGTATAGTTTGAAGTCAGGTAGTGTGATGCCTCCAGCTTTGTTCTTTTGGCTTAGGATTGACTTGGCGATGCGGGCTCTTTTTTGGTTCCATATGAACTTTAAAGTAGTTTTTTCCAATTCTGTGAAGAAAGTCATTGGTAGCTTGATGGGGATGGCATTGAATCTGTAAATTACCTTGGGCAGTATGGCCATTTTCACGATATTGATTCTTCCTACCCATGAGCATGGAATGTTCTTCCATTTGTTTGTATCCTCTTTTATTTCCTTGAGCAGTGGTTTGTAGTTCTCCTTGAAGAGGTCCTTCACATCCCTCATAAGTTGGATTCCTAGGTATTTTATTCTCTTTGAAGCAGTTGTGAATGGGAGTTCACTCATGATTTGGCTCTCTGTTTGTCTGTTGTTGGTGATAGAATGCTTGTGATTTTTGTACATTGATTTTGTATCCTGAGACTTTGCTGAAGTTGCTTATCAGCTTAAGGAGATTTGGGGCTGAGACAATGGGGTTTTCTAGATATACAATCATGTCGTCTGCAAACAAGGACAATTTGACTTCCTCTTTTCCTAATTGAATACCCTTTATTTCCTTCTCCTGCCTGATTTCCCTGGCCAGAACTTCCAACACTATGTTGAATAGGAGCAGTGAGAGAGGGCATCCCTGTCTTGTGCCAGTTTTCAAAGGGAATGCTTCCAGTTTTTGCCCATTCAGTATGATATTGGCTGTGGGTTTGTCATAGATAGCTCTTATTATTTTGAAATACGTCCCATCAATACCTAATTTATTGAGAGTTTTTAGCATGAAGGGTTGTTGAATTTTGTCAAAGGCTTTTTCTGCATCTATTGAGATAATCATGTGGTTTTTGTCTTTGGCTCTGTTTATATGCTGGATTACATTTATTGATTTGCATATACTGAACCAGCCTTGCATCCCAGGGATGAAGCCCACTTGATCATGGTGGATAAGCTTTTTGATGTGCTGCTGGATTTGGTTTGCCAGTATTTTATTGAGGATTTTTGCATCAATGTTCATCAAGGATATTGGTCTAAAATTCTCTTTTTTGGTTGTGTCTCTGCCCAGCTTTGGTATCAGAATGATGCTGGCCTCATAAAATGAGTTAGGGAGGATTCCCTCTTTTTCTATTGATTGGAATAGTTTCAGAAGGAATGGTACCAGTTCCTCCTTGTACCTCTGGTAGAATTCGGCTGTGAATCCATCTGGTCCTGGGCTCTTTTTGGTTGGTAAACTATTGATTATTGCCACAATTTCAGCTCCTGTTATTGGTCTATTCAGAGATTCAACTTCTTCCTGGTTTAGTCTTGGGAGAGTGTATGTGTCGAGGAATGTATCCATTTCTTCTAGATTTTCTAGTTTATTCGCGTACAGGTGTTTGTAGTATTCTCTGATGGTAGTTTGTATTTCTGTGGGATCGGTGGTGATATCCCCTTTATCATTTTTTATTGTGTCTATTTGATTCTTCTCTCTTTTTTTCTTTATTAGTCTTGCTAGCGGTCTATCAATTTTGTTGATCCTTTCAAAAAACCAGCTCCTGGATTCATTAATTTTTTGAAGGGTTTTTTGTGTCTCTATTTCCTTCAGTTCTGCTCTGATTTTAGTTATTTCTTGCCTTCTGCTAGCTTTTGAATGTGTTTGCTCTTGCTTTTCTAGTTCTTTTCATTGTGATGTTAGGGTGTCAATTTTGGATCTTTCCTGCTTTCTCTTGTGGGCATTTAGTGCTATAAATTTCCCTCTACACACTGCTTTGAACGCGTCCCAGAGATTCTGATATGTTGTGTCTTTGTTCTCGTTGGTTTCAAAGAACATCTTTATTTCTGCCTTCATTTCGTTATGTACCCAGTAGTCATTCAGGAGCAGGTTGTTCAGTTTCCATGTAGTTGAGCGGTTTTGAGTGAGATTCTTAATCCTGAGTTCTAGTTTGATTGCACTGTGGTCTGAGAGACAGTTTGTTATAATTTCTGTTCTTTTACATTTGCTGAGGAGAGCCTTACTTCCAACTATGTGGTCAATTTTGGAATAGGTGTGGTGTGGTGCTGAAAAAAATGTATATTCTGTTGATTTGGGGTGGAGAGTTCTGTAGATGTCTATTAGGTCCGCTTGGTGCAGAGCTGAGTTCAATTCCTGGGTATCCTTGTTGACTTTCTGTCTCGTTGATCTGTCTAATGTTGACAGTGGGGTGTTAAAGTCTCCCATTATTAATGTGTGGGAGTCTAAGTCTCTTTGTAGGTCACTCAGGACTTGCTTTATGAATCTGGGTGCTCCTGTATTGGGCGCATATATATTTAGGATAGTTAGCTCTTCTTGTTGAATTGATCCCTTTACCATTATGTAATGGCCTTCTTTGTCTCTTTTGATCTTTGTTGGTTTAAAGTCTGTTTTATCAGAGACTAGGATTGCAACCCCTGCCTTTTTTTGTTTTCCATTTGCTTGGTAGATCTTCCTCCATCCTTTTATTTTGAGCCTATGTGTCTCTCTCCACGTGAGATGGGTTTCCTGAATACAGCACACTGATGGGTCTTGACTCTATCCAATTTGCCAGTCTGTGTCTTTTAATGGGAGAATTTAGTCCATTTACATTTAAAGTTAATATTGTTATGTGTGAATTTGATCCTGTCATTATGATGTTAGCTGGTGATTTTGCTCGTTAGTTGATGCAGTTTCTTCCTAGTCTCGATGGTCTTTCCATTTTGGCATGATTTTGCAGCGGCTGGTACCGGTTGTTCCTTTCCATGTTTAGCGCTTCCTTCAGGAGCTCTTTTAGGGCAGGCCTGGTGGTGACAAAATCTCTCAGCATTTGCTTGTCTGTAAAGTATTTTATTTCTCCTTCACTTATGAAGCTTAGTTTGGCTGGATATGAAATTCTGGGTTGAAAATTCTTTTCTTTAAGAATGTTGAATATTGGCCCCCACTCTCTTCTGGCTTGTAGGGTTTCTGCCGAGAGATCCGCTGTTAGTCTGATGGGCTTCCCTTTGAGGGTAACCCGACCTTTCTCTCTGGCTGCCCTTAACATTTTTTCCTTCATTTCAACTTTGGTGAATCTGACAATTATGTGTCTTGGAGTTGCTCTTCTCGAGGAGTATCTTTGTGGCATTCTCTGTATTTCCTGAATCTGAACATTGGCCTGCCTTGCTAGATTGGGGAAGTTCTCCTGGATAATATCCTGCAGCGTGTTTTCCAACTTGGTTCCATTCTCCCCATCACTTTCAGGTACACCAATCAGACGTAGATTTGGTCTTTTCACATAGTCCCATATTTCTTGGAGGCTTTTCTGGTTTCTTTTTATTCTTTTTTCTCTAAACTTCCCTTCTCGCTTCATTTCATTCATTTCATCTTCCATCGCTGATACCCTTTCTTCCAGTTGATCGCATCGGCTCCTGAGGCTTCTGCATTCTTCACGTAGTTCTTGAGCCTTGGTTTTCAGCTCCATCAGCTCCTTTAAGCACTTCTCTGTATTGGTTATTCTAGTTATACATTCTTCTAAATTTTTTTCAAAGTTTTCAACTTCTTTGCCTTTGGTTTGAATGTCCTCCCGTAGCTCAGAGTAATTTGATCGTCTGAAGCCTTCTTCTCTCAGCTCGTCAAAGTCGTTCTCCATCCAGCTTTGTTCCATTGCTGGTGAGGAACTGCGTTCCTTTGAAGGAGGAGAGGCTCTCTGCGTTTTAGAGTTTCCAGTTTTTCTGTTCTGTTTTTTCCCCATCTTTGTGGTTTTATCTACTTTTGGTCTTTGATGATGGTGATGTACAGATGGGTTTTTGGTGTGGATGTCCTTTCTGTTAGTTTTCCTTCTAACAGACAGGACCCTCAGCTGCAGGTCTGTTGGAATACCCTGCCGTGTGAGGTGTCAGTGTGCCCCTGCTGGGGGGTGCCTCCCAGTTAGGCTGCTCGGGGGTCAGGGGTCAGGGACCCACTTGAGGAGGCAGTCTGCCCGTTCTCAGATCTCCAGCTGCGTGCTGGGAGAACCACTGCTCTCTTCAAAGCTGTCAGACAGGGACATTTAAGTCTGCAGAGGTTACTGCTGTCTTTTTGTTTGTCTGTGCCCTGCCCCCAGAGGTGGAGCCTACAGAGGCAGGCAGGCCTCCTTGAGCTGTGGTGGGCTCCAACCAGCTTCCCGGCTGCTTTGTTTACCTAAGCAAGCCTGGGCAATGGCGGGCGCCCCTCCCCCAGCCTTGCTGCCGCCTTGCAGTTTGATCTCAGACTGCTGTGCTAGCAACCAGCGAGACTCCGTGGGCGTAGGACCCTCCGAGCCAGGAGTGGGATATAGTCTCGTGGTGCGCCGTTTTTTTAAGCCGGTCTGAAAATGCGCAATATTCGGGTGGGAGTGACCCGATTTTCCAGGTGCATCTGTCACCCCTTTCTTTGACTCGGAAAGGGAACTCCCTGACCCCTTGCGCTTCCCAGGTGAGGCAAATGCCTCGCCCTGCTTCGGCTCGAGCACGGTGCGCGCACCCACTGGCCTGAGCCCACTGTCTGGCACTCCCTAGTGAGATGAACCCGGTACCTCAGATGGAAATGCAGAAATCACCCATCTTCTGCGTCGCTCACGCTGGGAGCTGTAGACCGGAGCTGTTCCTATTCGGCCATCTTGGCTCCTCCCGTAGTTTTTGTATTTTTATTAGAGATGGGGTTTCACCATATTGGCCAGGCTGGTCTTGAACTCCTGACCTCATGATCCATCCACCTTCGCCTCTGAAAGTGCTGAGTGATTATTCATTTTTTGAGCAAGAGGGAGGTCACATTTCTTATTACACAGAAACAGAATAACTTCCATTTCTGCAATATAGTTAGCAAAGTTGGGGGTTTTGTCTGGTTGGTTTTGTTTTTTTTGGGTTTTTTTGAGATGGGATCTAAATCTGTCACCCAGGCTAGAGTGCAGTTGTGCAATCACGGCTCACTGCAGCCTCAACCTCCCCAGGTTCAGGTAATCCTCCCACCTGAGCCTCCCAAGTAGCTGGGACTACAGGACTATGCCACCACATCTAGCTAATATTTTTGCATTTTTGTAGAGACAAGGTTTTGCCATGTTACACAATCTGGTCTCTAACCCTTGGGCTCAAGAGATCTATTCATCTCGGCCTCCCAAAGTGCCAGAATTACAGGCATGAGCCACCATGCCCAGTCAGGAAAGTTCTTTAATAAAGATTCCAAAGACAGACGCAAACATTTCACAGGCCAATATTTTTGCTAGTCACAAAGAACATGAACAAAAATACATTGTTTTTAGGATTTTGTAGGTGAAAAAGTAGAATTCTATATAAACTAGTATCAGCCTGGTGATGAATAGCCTTCATACGACAGAAAGATAAATTAATACCATCAATTATAATCTAAATTGCCATTTTAGACCAAAGCATTATAAATAACGAGATGAAAATTTAAGAAAAACAAAATGAATTTTCAAAATTATATAGGGCATTTTGTCCAGGTGAGGTTAATGTGGAAATTCAGATTAAGATAAGTAAATAAACATAAACAGGCAATTTGAATAGTTCTACCAAATCACAACACTCATAATAGAAGAGCTTTTCATCAGTATTACACACATTATTTCTTTGGCTTTCAATCAGTCTTGGTTAGTACAAAAGTAACCCTAAGTCTCTTCAGAAATAAAAGTATACCTAAGTAAGGAAAGGAAATTTTGTGAAGTTTATAAAAAATAAAAATGTGTTTCATTTTTCTAACACTTATTTAAAGAAATGGCTCTTAATTTAGAAAAATAATGTAAGGACTATTTCAAATATATTTTCTCACAACCCTATTTATTTTAAATATTTAAAGCTAGAGAACAGCTGAAGGAATAGTACAATAAACAACATATTCCCTTCACCTAGATTCAACAACAGTTATTTGCATATTTGCTTCAGCTCTGTGTATACTATATATATAATTTTATATCATTTTCAACATATTTTTGAAACTTACAGTACATTTTCCTCAAAGCAATTATTCCCTGTTCTTTTCTATCCAACTATTCAACAAATACCTGTGTCTATTAAGTTCTACGTGCTAATGCCACAGAGAAACAAGATTTTTCCCTGGTATTAAAAAGTATATGATCTACCGAGTGAAGAGAAACTCATAAACAAGGGAGATAAAGCTTAGCACGCTGGTAGGTGCTACGATAGACTTAGGTGTTGGAAACATCCGGGACGTGAGGGCATGAGTAAGTGGTCAATTCAATCCAGGGGAAACAGGGAAGAGACAGTATCAGGGAAGAGAGAGTATCAGGAAGAGACAAAGGGAAACACAGTGGTTTCCCTTTGTCAGCCAATTGGTTTTGCATATTCAGCCTGGCAATAAACGTCTTCTAAGGAAGCAAGTGAGACTGATATTATTTTGTCATTATCTGTGTCACCATCCCTGTTTCTGCTGTCCCATTTACCTCCAGCTGAATACACCAATGTCCTCCATGTGTGGGTTTAATACCTTTCCATTTCCTGAGTTGTGCAAATCAAATCAAGTCCAGCAACAAACTTGACCACAGCATTTCAAATCAAATTCCAGATCAGTGGTTATCAATGTTAGCCACACACTGGATTCGCCTAGGGAGCTTTAAAGATACTAATACTAGGTTCTACTCCTGGAGATTCCAACTTAATTGGTGTGATGTGGGACTTTCCAACAAATTATAATGTGAAACCAAGACTAAGAACTACTGTTGCGAGTCTCCAACTTCAGAATGCATGTAAATTATGTGCAGCTCTTGTTAAGATACAGATCTTGGCTCTGGGGTGGGGTCTGAGGTTCCGCATTTCTAGCACACATCTCCATGATGCCTATGCTGCTAGTCTGGGGAACCTGGTTTGAGCAGCAAGATTTTATATCATAAACTACTATTAGTAGCAAGATATTACTCATAAACTGATCACAGCTGCTATTGCCCAAGTTGTGGCAATGCCAGTCAGGTCCAAGGCCTCACCAGTGAGCCCACCATGCCAATGTTACCCCAAGCTGCAAGTTGAAAGAGAAGTCACTTCTAACACTTCTGATACCAAATGTGTGGGTTTTGGTTTTCACACCAAGCAATTCTCCAGTTATTTGTGGACACTCACTGGTGTCCTACAGTTTAACTCAATGTTCACACTAACCACTCAGAGGTAGCGTAGACCCCACAAGTTAAAGGCTCAGCCCCACAAGTCTGCCCCCTACTTCAGACACCAGTTACAAGTAGTAGGTCCCCAGGTCACCCACAGCTCCTGTCCAACTTGGCTGCAAGTTGGAGCCTCTCATGACCTCCCCCTCAAGTGGAATCATTTGCTATAACGGCTAACAGAACTCAGGGGGACACTTTGCTTGCTATTACTGGTTTAAGATAAGGGATACAGGTGAACAGCCAGATGCAGAGGTACACAACGCGAGGTCCAGAAGAGTCCCAAGCACAGGAGCTTCTGTCTCCATGGAGTTTGGATGCACCACGCTCCTTGCACATGGATCCATCCATCAACCCAGAAACCTTCCTGGGTTTAGTGGTTTTATGGAGGGGTTTAGGGGTTTTATGGAGGTTCATAACCTCATTGTTTAGGGGTTTTATGGAGGTTCCATTATGTAGACGTGATTAGTTAAATCATTGGCTATGGACGATCAGCTCAATCTCCAGCCTCCTCTCCTCCCTGGAGGCCAGGGATGTGGAGGAAGGGAGGGATGCTGAAAGTTCCAATCTTCTAATCATGGCTTGGTCTTTCTGGTGACCATCTTCCATCCTCAAGCTATCTAGGGACACCCAGCCACCAGTCTTCTCATTAGTGTAAACTCGGATGCATTTGAAAGGGGCTTATTGTGAATAACAAAACATGTTCCTTTCACCCCAACGCTCATCAGCTTATGAGTGTTTTAGAAGTTCTGTGCCAGGAACCCCAGCACTAAGACCAAATATGTATGTCTTATTCTATCATATCACACAAATCCTTTTCCCTCCACAGTTTATCTGCTCTAGTGGTACTTGAAGTCCCTGGACCAGTAGCATCAGTGTCTCCTAGAAACTACTGAGAAATGCAACTTCTAGGACCTCACCCCAGACCTAATAAATCAGACACTCTGGAGGTAGGGCACCACAATCTGTTTTAATATCTAGGGGAAGCTGATGCATGCTCAAATTTGAAAACCAGTGACCCAGTTGGTATATTTGTGGATCTTCCTTGCTGTCCTCTTCATCCTTCTGACCAACTATTCTAAATCAGTGATTCTACTTGATTGCATGTTAGAATCCCTTTGAGAACCCTTATAACATGCCTATGCCCCTCCCCTGAAGCTCTGGGAGTTGGACTCGGTTATGAAAATACGTGTGCAAGAGCTCACCGGGTGATTCTATTGTACAACTGATGCTGAGAAATTTTGTTTCGAATAATCCCCGGGAGATCCCTTGATACGTAATATTTTCCTTTGGCCAATCTCAGTTTCTGAAATCTAACTATCCACGAACACATTCTGCAGATTATCCAGTGCCTCCCTCGTCCCATACTGTTGACTGACCTCTAAGTCCCCTTTTGCAGTGCTTTGGGGTGAATATTACAGCTCAATTCCTTCCACCTTATTTGCTTAATCTAAGATTGGTATATCCTGGTAAGTAGAGCTTTTATATACAAATATCTTGGCTGATTTCATGAAGCCCACATCCCATCAGATTTCCCTCTGCATTCTCTATGAAGCCTCTTCTATTCCCTCTTAATGCGTACATCTTCCCAAAAGTCCCACTGAGCCATCTTCCTCCATTTGCCATCACACTGCACGGTTTCATATCTTTTATTTATTCGAATGCTTGTCTTTCCTTTCTAGACTATAAACCATTAGAGTGAAGGTAGATATCTTTCCTAGATCCAAGTTTTCACCATACCTAGAACACTGTGAATACTGTGCCTTCCAAAGGTTTGTGGAATAGAAGATAAATATCTAGTGTTAACTGTCCCCACAATCTTCATCAAATTGCTAGCCTTCAGACACTGTGCCTTAATTTCTGCCCTCCTCTTTTTGAGTTGTCTTTAACCAGTATGTTTCCCTAGCCCATTCCCTTGGCCCAGAGAATCAGCTTCAAATTTGGTCCCATCTTCTTTTCCAAGAACTCTTTGCAGCCTCAAAACACCATGGTTGAGTTAGAATGAGTACCCTTGAGAAGAGACTAATTCTGTAGATACATTCAGCAGTCATACTCTTCCGTAAAATATTTAATGTGCACATACTGTTTTCAATCAACAAGCAGATAATTAAGGCTTTAACTCTAGGTTTTTAAAATAAAAACATCATAGAATTACTGTATTTTCTCTCCCCTTCCCCAAAAGAGTCCATTATGCATATCTCCACTGCTATGATCTATACTCATCAATCAGATTGTTAGATCTTGGAACTTAGGAGAATATTTCTGTTTATTTT
This sequence comes from Homo sapiens, assembly GCF_000001405.40. NCBI lineage: Eukaryota > Metazoa > Chordata > Mammalia > Primates > Hominidae > Homo > Homo sapiens. Next base: position 9,976,819 of record NC_000006.12, read on the forward strand.
GACATGTAGAAATTCTGTTTAACCTGACCTGAAGAATTTCTCAAATTTATCCTATTTTGTTTAACTGATCATTTGCCTCTCAAAATATTATTTCTTTCAAGTATGCCATTGGTCAGATAGAGGGCTGTCTTTCTAGCTGCTGGGGTAGGACTAGAATCAGTTCTTTTTTTCTCTGAGTAACATAGTCTTTGCACAGCCTAGTAACCCATGGATAAAACAGACAAGCCTTAAGGTCACCTCTGGCCAGACCTCTCAGTGGTGCCTACAGGTTCCCAGTGAAATAGGCTCTACCTTGAACAGCCAGGGGAAGCACTGGTGGGCCTCAGCAAATAGAAAGGTGTCAGGACAAGCCTCTCTGAGACAGCTAGATATGGTCCCAACCCACAGTGAAGGTAACCAGGTATTCAGAAACTGGACTGACCAGGCACAAAGAAAAACAAAAACAAAAACAAACAAACACAAATAACTTTTCCAAATAAGCAGCTAAGAGTCAATCCCTTTCTTTCATTTCAAGTCTAGCATTTGTCTAAACTCAAAGTGCTCTGCTAAATCGTGTCAACTAGCTTTGTAACTAAGACCTGCAGGCTTTAATTACCTTAAGGAGAAAGTCTGGTGTCCAAAGAAAGCCTCATTACAAACTGGGTTTTGCTTGGGGGTGGGAGAAGGCCCAGGAATGAGGCTGTCTTGGGGATCCCCTGCCAAATCAAATATATCTTCATCCTTCATGGTGATGAGACTGGTGATCCACATAATTAATATAAGCTCACACAGAAGTAAACATGAAACGATTAAACAGGAAGCCTTTAACCAGGCAGCATGAAGCAGGGAGGTGGGGGAGGAATTAATGGATAACAGAGTCTTAGAAACACAGGCAAGTAGTACATGGTATTTTTAAATGAACCTTTGTTCCTGGACTAAAACCAAATGGCTTTTAAAACTTTTCTCTCCACAACAGCCTCGACAAGGTGGTTTGGAGCAGGTATTATGCCCAGAATATTTACATTCTGGCAGTTATAGCATAGCCATATGCTATAACTATATTTGATAAATGATATAGCAAATTCAAAAAGAAATAGTAAGAAAAATAGTAGTTGAATAATTTGTACTCCTTAAAGACTAAATTTGGAGGAACAGCAGATAGCTTGTGAGCCTACTATGATTGGCATTAAAACAGTAACTCTGTCGTGGTGGGCAGAGGGGGTGAGGGTAGGGGTCTTTATGTGTTGAATAGGGACCGGGCACCATGTGAACTGCTGGGAATATGTAATCTCATTTAACACTAAATACATCTTATTTGAACTCTCTGATATCATGCAATTTTTTTTTCTTGCAGAACACCCAGGGTTAATACATGGGCACTACTAAGCAAGTGAAGTTCAAGATATGCACGTCCCATTTCCAATAGATAAACTGCATGGAGAGGAGAAAACATAGTAACTGCAGAATCTCTTGATTAAAGCCTCCTTTTTAAAATTAGGCTTGCTTGCTTTTTTAATGTTTCAATTAGGGAATTAAGCTAAAAGGAAAAACTAAAATCTGCCCTGCAGTTTTCTGCATCAGGAAAATAAGTTGTGATAGGATGTCACTTTTGATCCTTTCTCAGATGATCTGAGTTATAAGTCACCCAGGGACCACAGTTTGGGTTTCATTAGCAGTAAGTCTAGAACATCTAAGTTCAGGACCTCCCTATAGAGCTTGACTGTGGGCTGTGGGCAAACACCTAGGGGCTACCATCACCAGCATGAGAGCCAGCTCAGAAGTCTTTTCCTGCCCCAGAAAAGAAGAATCACACCTTTGGCAGAGGCCTGAAGGCAGGATGAGTAATACCGTATTTATAGGAACCCCAAAAGAAACACCCCAAACCCTTCGGCTGTCGCCTGTCTCATTCTCTGCTGAAACGCCTATTGCATCATTTTTTTTTTAAGTCAAGCAAGACCCAGCATGTGGAGAGGAGGCAGTTGGCAATTTTGCTACTGTTCTAAAACACAGCCTTTGATGAAGCCATCGAATGGTATCCCCACTTGTACAGGTAAGGAAACACGAATTAGAGGAGGTTGACTTCCTTGTCTATTACCACACGAAGTAAGTAGGAGAATCATTTGAACTCAGGCAGTTTATTGTCAGGTATATGTTCTCTGCTCTTCCTTGTCTTGTCATGAGGGTAGTACCTGTTGTACATGGTTGGATATTAACCAGTGTAAACTGCCCTCCACCACCAGGAATACAGAAACATACCACAGCCAGTGGAAAATGAGAAAGATGAAAAAAGAGGGACTAGAGATTCCTAGCTAACATTGTAAACATTGTAACAGTGGAAACACTGCATCTGGAGGGATACAGAACTTGTACTTCATTTCTTCCTGAAATTTCAATCCTTTCCAGCTAATCTGGGTTTTTTAATTAAATATTAATAAAGAGGTATACTGGAGCCAGGTGAACCAAATTGATGTTTTCCTTCAAGATTCTAATGCACTTGCTTCAAATACTGGTGATGAACCCTTAAGTGGGGCCTGAACAGAGCCTGAACCCTTTGGGCTTACTGATGATGGGAGGCCTGATGTCCCTTACTTTCCAAGACTAATACAGATAAAAGAAACAGCCTAAGGGGAAATCCTACCAACACAACTCCTATTTTTTTAAATTTTGCTTTCATGAAGACTTCCAGCTCAGGATGATGGATCTGTTTTCCATAGAGAATTGCTTGTGTTTTCACATTCTCATTATATGGAAAGGGTGCAAGAAAGGAACAGAAAATAACCACAATAAAATTAGAAGAGCAAAGTATAAATTTTGAAAACTTGATGGAATATTTCTGGATGGCTTGCATTTTGAAAGCTCATTATTTCAGCTCCAAAATTAAATAAATATGGTTTTATTTGGACTAAATATAATTTTACAACCATAAAAACAGTTTTAGAACCATTTCAAAGGCTTGACAAGTTTGACCAAACTTCTTAAAACCATTCTGTCACCCAAAGGGCAGTGCAAAAGAATAGAGGAACAAAGTGTGCATAAAATGTTTCATTAAATAAGGGCAATTGGCAAAACCTTTAATCCACCACCTCACAGCGCTAGGCACACCCTCCAAACACAGATGATAAATAGGAACAACATGGTGAAGCTTTGGTCATGCGACACATCTGTTCACTTATTTGGGTCATGTTTTAGATTTGGGCATAACAAGTTTTGATTGTCTTTATGTACGGTGACAGCAATGTAATGAATGTTGTTTGAACTCTGAATTATATAAATACATAGACATGTTGATTTGAGAAGAGAAAACAAAGCATGTGAAAATTGGTAAAATACCCACTTCAAGAATTACAGATATTCTTCTTTAAAAAAAAAAAAAGAAAAGAAAGAAAGAAAGAAAAGACTAGCACGCAACTGGCAGACCACCCGTGAAGTGCGATTAAAATCTGAACATGAACAAAAGAGAATGTTCTCCAGTCAGTACAATTCCTAAAAGTATTAACTTTTAAAAGTTCTTCACTTAATCCAATGACCTTAAAATATGTCATTGAAATGCAGTATCCTTTTGTGTAATCAGTGGAAGTCCTCTCACGTATATGAAATTAATTGAGATAATTAGAAAAGGCCAATAATAACGATAGTTGCTAGTATTTATGGGGCACTTTCTAGGAGTGAAACGGAAGTATTATACATGTTATCTCATGTAATCCTATCATCAAGCCTTTAAAATAAATATTAAGTGAAACATACACATTTATCAAATAAAGAAAGGCTAAGACACTAAATAAATTGAATAAAGTCACATAGCAAGATTCAAACTCACGCCCATCCTAGTCTAAGACAATGTGGCCTTTTCACTACAATGTGCTGACATTTAATAGCTCTTTTTTTCCTACAGTAGGTCTAATTAGCTTGCAATGAATCAAATTCATTATTAACAACAAAAGAGAAACACATAACCCCAAAATAAGGATTCAATTCCTAGAAGAAAAAAATTCAATGACAAAATCTTCCAAGGAAACAAATAAGCAATTAAATTGGGCAAATGTGCACTCAATTTGAAAGAAATACAAAAAGGAAAATGTTCAATAATAATTCAAAATAAATCTGTCTCAAGCAATGAAGAAGTAATGAATAGAGTAATCCGAGTGTTTTTCTCTGTAGAAGTAATATGTCTACCCGACTCCAGAAAGAGCCTAATTAAACATGGGGAATGTCCTTTGCCCCCATTTTTCTCTGATGATCCTGCCCACCAATAATTATTCTTTTATGCTTTGTTTTCCTACTTCACTTAATATCTGAATGACTTGTAGGCCACTTCACTTTGTACTGTTAATTTCCTTTTATATGTTTAGATCCCTACAATGAGATTTAAGCTCCTCAAAGAAGTGAAGAATATCTTGCACTTTTGTGTATGTCCATATGCCTTGCACATAATAAGTGTTCAACTAATTGTTGGTTTAATTCAGGCTGAGACTTCTGCCACTAAGATTACCTAGACACCAAATTTGACTAAATGGTAGCATAATGATTACAGTTACCTTGGCAACATTTGAAAGTTTTTGCAATGTAACCTGTATTTTCAATGAAAAGCATCCAATTCTTTGCAATAGACATCATCCTTTTGCCCTTTAGTAGGCAGATCACTGTGTTTGCAAGCAACAGGTGCAGGGTGAAGCTTGTGATTTATTTGAGGTATGTTTCTCAAAAGTTACATTTCATTTTAATTTCTGCCATGTAGGAATTCATCAAGGAACCCCTAAGCAGCACAACAGATTACATGATCTACTGCAAAATAGGAAAGACCATGACTGGATTAGTGGAAAGACGGAATGGAGCAGAGCTTGAAAAACATTGTCATAAAGAGTAAATCAGAGTCACTAGAAAAAAGGACACAAACAGAAGAAGGATGAGGCAGAGTGAACCAAGGCTTTAAGATGTGTAAGTGCAAGTTAAGATTTAAGATGTTCTATAAATGTTTATTGAGTGACTGAAGGAATGAATGCATAATATCAGAGTCCCCGCACTTTACTGCACTTGAGAGAGTAGACGCATAATGACAGGATAGTAAAAGGGAATTGAAGGTCAGAGTTAAGATGTACTTAAGGGATACATTTAAGCTGAAGCAACCAAGAGTTCTTTGGGAGCAGCACAGAAAAACTGAACATTGTGTTGTATTGCTTTTGAAAACTCCCAAGAAGTTTTGGCCAATGCAGCTACCATGCAACGCATTAAAGAGTGATGGCCACATTGTGCCTCTCCGAATCATCCAGGTGGCTGGATTAAAAGGGGGTGCACCACTTAGCAAACTCTTTCACCAGCTGTTTCTATGTGTGAATTTTGAAGCTGCCAAACCATACACGAATGGCACGTTGGCCTCTACAGTCGCACAAGCGCAGTAAGCCACTATCACAGATGTGCTATGTTCACACAATATTCACGGTAGCTAGACGGCAGCTAACTTCCTCAGAGGACACTGGGTGCACCAGCTGCTGGTGACAGCAATAGAATCAGATAGGTTCTGCCCTGTAGTTTTTAAATGCTGCCTGCTTTAAAAAGCAGAGCCTCCAAATAATGCAGGAGCTAACAAGTTTGCAAAGGAAATGCACTTGCAATATGCAAACCAGAGCAGCTGGGTATCCCAACTGTGTAAAGAAACACGGAGAGCTCTTCTTTCCCTCAAACTGATATTACTCACACGGGTTTTATAGAGTCGAAAGCATATGCTTAAGTATAATTACTCAACAACTCAGACCAATTTCTACATCACAGCCACATAAATGAGATATTTCATTCCACCTAGGTGGTGACAATGTGACTCTTTTGCCTGGGTATTTCTGATGAGTATTATAAACCAGTGGCTCAAGAGGCAACATTTTGAGATTAATTTGAAAAACAAGATATTTCATACACACACAATATGTGTAACACTCTATATAAGTAGATAAAACAAATCACCATCTAGATTAAGAAAGAACATCACCAGTACAACTCAAATCTCTTCTCTATCACTCCATGTTTGTATCCCCCAGGACCAGCTGCATAATTTGAGGGGCCCAGTGCAAAATGCAAGGTCTCTTGTTCAAAATTATTAAGGATTTCTAGATGGTGACAACACAACATGAAATCACACCTAGGGTCCTTCTAAACTCAGGGCTCTGTGTCACAGGTCACATTCCCATGAAACTGGTCTGGTAGTTCCTCGACTCAGCACTCACACAGAGGGAGAATTACTCTGGATTTTCTAGATATGAATACAATCATTTTAGTAGGCTTTACTCAATATATAGTAATTAAATATCGTATGTTTGAAATTTATAAACATGCTGTATATCTGAAAACATGTTTTTGAGATTCATCCATGTTGCTCTATAAAGTTGTCATTAATATATTTTTATTGTTTATATTATACCAACTAATGTCACTATATGTTTAAACATTTTCCTATTGAAGAACATTCAGGTCGTATCCAGTTTTCATGTTTGTTTCTGTAAGAAACAATGCCTCCAGGAACATTTTTGCAAATGTCTCCTGGAGCCCATATTTAGCGTTCCATATGTTTTAGGCATGCTTCTCATAAACAGCATAGAAATGCACTGGGCTTTCATCAAGTCTGACAATCTGTCTTGTTACTAGTGAAAATGGTCCATTTACATTTATGTGGCTATTGGTATATTTTGATTCATTTCTATCATCTTACTCTGTGCTTTCTATTTGTCCTACTCCATGTTTCTTTTTCTCTCCTAACTTATCTTGATTTTCATTTCAATTTTTCTCTACTGCTTTAATTGAATTCTTTCTTATTCTGTCCTTGGAATTGTAGCATATCTAAATATCAACGTCTCAGGTTAATCATTATCTTAATTATCTAATCAAATAATGCTGAAACTAGAGAATGTTTTAACTTTTGTCACCCTCCTTCAAATTTATAAACTAATGTCATTCAGTATTTTAGTTCTGCCTTATTATTTTGCCCTACAAAATAGACATTGTTAGTATTATTTTATACTGTCACTAATTATTTAGATTTATCTACATGTTTATCCATTTCTTGGCTCACATTCCTTCTTATATATCAGAAATTCCTTCTAGAGTCATTTTTATTTCATCTGAAGTACAGTTTTAAATGTTCCTTTACTTAGAACCTAATGATAGTAACGTCTCAGTTTTGTTCATCTGAAGATCTATTTGGTTTTGGTTCCTGAAATACAGTTTTACTTGCTAAACAACTTAAAATTGACAGCTACTCCATCTCAACACAGCATTCATGGTTGCTATCAGTCTAATTTTTGTTCCTTTCTGGAAAAGAGAATAATTTTAAAATCATCTTTTTGTCTTTGGTACACCCCAGTTCCACCACAACGTATAGAGGGGTAGATTTCTTTTTATTTTCATGTTTGGAAATTTTGTTCACATCTCTGATTATTCAAATCTATCACCAGTTCTGAAAACAGCTCATCCACTATACAGCCAAATATTGCCTCCTCATTCTCTCTGTTGTCTCAAATTTAAAATGCTAGATCTTCTCATTATAACCTCTGTGTCTCTTACACTCGATTTTCTATTGTCAGTCACCTTTTTCTATAAGCTATATTCTGGTTTACTTCTTCACATTTGTCTTCCTATTTACTAGTTCTTTCTTTAGCCGTGTCTACTTACTGCTAAACTATTCATGATTTTATTGCAATAAACGCATTTTTTCATTTTAAGGATGTTGTCTTTTTAGAAGACGAATTAGTCCAAAACTAAAAATTAAGAGAGGTATGTACCTATTTTCCAAGTTCAGCAAGTTGACTGTTGACTCTGGTCTAAAAGAAAGCTTTCCAGGCATGGCTTGCTGAGGAATGGGGCCAGGTGGTGGCTAATCTTTTTATTCTCAGTTCAACCAATTAGCCAGGACAGTGTTAATTATCTCATGCTGATGACAGGTCTATTGTCTCAGTCTATATCAATGAATGAAATGGAAAAGGAGAGCCTTTTGCATGGTGTTAGTGTGATCCATGGTACTTTCATTTCTGCTTTCACTTTTGGGCAAGTAACAGTATAGGATTGCTTAAAAGGAAAAGGCAATAGATCTTCAGTAAAGTCTAGGAAAATACAAATGGGTGCTTGAAGATGATGATGCAGATTAGAGGGCAATATGGAGATGATACAGCAAAGAAGTGAGGAAGAGGAAGAAGAAGAAAAAAACAAAGGTAGGAATATGGATGGACTGCTGATTCAGTTCTAGTGGCCTGATGTCAGTAAATGTGTGATGAAGCTGTTAAAACCACCAACCACCAGCAAAGACTTACTTTCTTTCTTTTTTTTTTTTTTTTTTTTTGAGATGAACTCTTGCTCTGTCACCCAGGCTGGAATGCAGTGGTGCAATCTCAGCTCACTGCAAGCTCTGCCTCCCGGGTTCAAGCAATTCTCCTGCCTCAGCCTCCCAAGTAGCTGGGATTACAGGCACCCACCACTGTGCCTGGCTAATTTTTGTATTTTTAGTAGAGATGGGGTTTCACCATGTTGGCCACGCTGGTCTCGAACTCCTGACCTCAGGCAATCCACCAACTTTCTTTAAAAACTTTCTATCTTCTTAGACTGTGTGTGTGTGTGTGTGTGTGTGTGTGTGTGTGTGTGTGTGTGTCTTATAATTTATTTTATACACATAGCATACATATTTTAAACCTAAACTATAGGATATACTTGAGTATCATACTTCATATTTAATAATACTATAGGCTGTGGATATGGTAGAGACACAGCTTGCCAATTACATTTTTAGCAGCCATACCAAAGAATGAATATTTCATAAGAAACCTAAAGGGATTACTTTTTGAGTCTTTCACTGGAGAAAGAAGACTATCATCTGAAGAGGCAGCTTAAGGGGACTGTTTAGATGTTGTAAAGAGCCATCAAGTTTATTATTTGTGACATAAATGGAAACTTTTTAAGTAGATTATGTTCTGACATAAAGAATTCCAGTTAAGACACCAGATTGCAAGGCAAAGACACAAACAGCTGCTGCAGCTTTGAAACTGTACTTACAGCTCACTTGTTCACAAAAATGTTTAGATCAACTTCACTACTTTCAAACTTTCTGCAGACAAGAGGCATGGATGTATTACAGGCCTAGGGAATGGTTTTAGAAACAATCAAAGGCTAACACAAAGCCAAGAAATGTTCAGGAGGTACAAGCCTCCACCTCATGAATGAAGTGTTCACTACAAACACTGTGATATTATTGAAGAAAACACGGGCAACCAACCTATGAAACAAAATGAAAAACTTAAACCATAATAAAATTACTGCTATCATATTGAAGCAGTCCCAGAGAATCGATAAACAATTTGGTTTCCAGAGAATATGAATTCTACTTGCCAAAGAGAATCTGAGGGACCAATTCTTTTTTGATGCTATTCTCTCCACTCCAGTTTCTGCCTGTCGAGAGTCCTTCCATCCTTCAAGCCTAGGTCAGCATCTACTCCTCCACAAAACACTACTTCATTAGCTCTTTCCATTCCTCTAACACATAGGATGTATGGATCTTCATTTGTGTTTTTACCTTTGAATTCTGTAGCATGTAATTTGCATCACTATTCATGCTTGTTATAAGATGATGCTGCTTAGAAAATTTCACAGCAATCTCAAGGCTTTCTGACTACCACGTCTTATTTGTGGTTTTAACAATTCAATGATGCCAGTGAGAAAAATATTATTACTGTTACCTCATTGTATGCTTGGCACATAGAAGACAGTTGGTAAATATGAGTTGAATAGGTGTCAGTTTTTGACAAAGAAACAAAACCTCAAAGATACTTTCAAGTTTACACAGTTAAGAAACAGCAAAACCACGTCTTAGCATATACCTTGATCTTCAGGTTCCCAATCCAAGATGCTTTGCATTACCAGGGCTGCCTCTCATATTCTGCCTTGTTTTTACATGCTCACACACTCTCACACACACAGAAGCATAACACACTCATATATATGCTCACACTCTCACAGTTACTCTTAGATACATTCACACAGAGACATATACACACAGTCACACACAAACACATATGTACCCACACACTCACACTTTCTCACACACTAACATATACACTCACACAAGCACACACAGAGCTTACCTACTAGATTGAAATATCTTACCTACCACATTGAAATTGTGTTCCAGTGTGAATGACTAGTAAAAACTGGTTTTTAGTCCACCCACAGTGAGGCTTGCAAAGAAGTTGTTTATTGAATTTAAACAGCAGAAATACCTATTCAATGACAAATAAACATGCTGCACTATCCTGAGAAGTAATTTAAATAAACTACAATAAACAAAAGTTTATCTATTCTTTCTTAAAGCTCTCTTGTGCTCTACTGAGAAGGAGACTGACTGACTGAAATGAAAAAATAATAATAATCCAGGAACAACCAGAAATGAAGATGTACAGGAAGTAGAGGATTCTTCAACCGGAAGTGAAGATGCACACGAAATTTGAGGATTTCTTTCTACACACTGTCCCCTATGCCCACCTGGGAGAATTCTAACCTCCTTTTCAGCCAAGTTCTCACACCTGCAATCTGAACAGTTGGGAACCACCAAGAAAGATGTCCTTACTCCCAAGAGGACCAGACAAGTTGAGGAGGCAGCAGGACGCCGACGGGACCAGAATGATCTTCACGAACCCTCAAATCTCTCAAGTCTCCAGTCTCCATACCCATAGCAAACCACTGTACCTGGGAGTATTCCTTAGGCCACTCTGTGAGGTGTTATGTCTGCCTTCAGTGCTAACTGAGAGTGCTGTCTTCAGAGTCTAACTTCACTGCTAAATGCAGGTGTCTGCATTTCCAGATATTAATAGCTTGAATGTTGTTTGGTGACACATATTATAAGTACATAAAAACATACCCATTGTAAGAGATCATGCTGGTTGTTTACTTTCTCCAGTTTCTATTACCTGTGGAATTAATAATGAATATTTTAAAAGTATTATTTGAGAGTCATCAGTGAAATCATTTAGCTTGAATTATCAGTTCTTGAATTAGCTGAGGTGGGGGAGCGAAGATGGGTCATGAGTGGAACCAGAGGAAAAGATGATGCCAAAGGAACATCACCACTCTCATCCAGAATCAGGATTTTGAAGCGTTGCCTTAGGTGGAAACTGACTGCTACCATATGGTTGCATTTTCCAGGGCAAAATAAATCAATTAAAAATGTCTACAGAGGGGCCAAGTATTACAGTCTTTTTGTCTGTTTCTAAGACTTATTTCATCACCAATATTAGTTATTGAAGAAAACATGGGCAACCAACCTATGAAACAAAATGAAAAACTTAAACCATAATGAAATACCTGCTATCATACCGAAGCAGTCCCCAATCAATAAGCAATTTGGTTTCCAGAGAATGAGAATCCTACTCGCCAAAGAGAATCTGAGGCACCAATTCTTTTTTGATGCTATTCCCTCTACTCCAGTTTCTGCCTGTCTAGAGTCCTTCCATCCTTTAAGCCTAGATCAACGTCTACTCCTCCAGAAAATACTACTTCATTAGCTCTTTCCATTCCTCTAACACATAGAATGTATTGATTTTAGGAATATATAAATAAAAAGAATCCCAGTGCGATGTGCAGTATGTGGGTAATGGATACACTAAAAGCTCCAACTTCACCACTAAGAAATATCTCCATGCAACAAAATTGCATTTGGATCCCTTAAACATATACAAACTTTTTAAAATCCTGTTTTTATTCTAATATTTAATAAATATGTAACTCCTTTGCTAACATAAGAAACACTTTATGAATGACGAGACTGTATTGACACCAATTAACATCCTTCCGGGTCGGGCGCACTAGCTCACACCTGTAATCCTAGCACTTTGGGAGGCGGAGGCAGGAGGATCACAAGGTTAAAACAGTCCATGAAATTATTCCCATTTTAAAGTTCATTCGCATTTTAAAGCTCAATATTTTTATATTTAAATTTTTAAAATTTATAATTATTCCCATTTGAAGCTCAGGGAATTTTTAAGAGGCTTTTCTGAGGACATACAAGCCAGCATGTGACAGAAAACAGTCTAGATGCAAACCACATCTTCTCATTTTAACTCAAGTGCCTCTGGGATCTGTTGGAGGCATGAATACAGTCCATGTGTTTTGACCCAAGTCCACTACTCTTCACACAGTGACACAGTCGACAAATTAAAAATATGACCCCCAGAGGGTCATGGGTGAAAAAAGTGACAAAGATTGTTTTACATGCACAACAGCCATTTAGTTAAAAAGAAATCACGAACCTATCTTATTTTAACCTCTTAAGTGTTAGAGGGAGTGAAGGTATAGGAATACTTTCTGGGCCGGATTTGGATCTAAGTATTTGTATACTTAAAGCAGAGTCTCTCAACAGCAACACTACTGAAATTTGGGGCCAGCTATTTCTCCTATGTAGGAGTGACGGAGACTGTCCTATGCATCTTGGGCTATTTTGCAACATCCCTGGACTCTACTCACTAGATGCCAGTAGTGATAACAAAAAGTGTGTCATTTTTGACAGACATTGCCTCTCTGAGAAGCAAAACTCACTCTTCCCCTTATTGAGAACCATAGACTTAGAAGTATGATTTATTTTTTTCTGCACCTGAAAGGAGTTCTATTTAATCTGAATTATAAAATGTAACTGAGAAATGTTCCAAACTTCCTTCAGATGTAGAAGAAATCCAAAAACAGACTGTTCTCCCACACCAAGTGTGAGAAAATTGCCCGACCACATATTACCAAGAGCAACTATCTTGTAGTTGACAGTGACTTCCCTGACCTTCGATTTTCTGCCACGGATGGAACATTCACCATACATTGTATCCTGATGGCACAAAAGCATGCCATGAGCAGTAACATACTTAGAGGATGTTAAGAATTCGGGGGAATTTTGTCATTCAGATATTTTTACGTAAAATATGACAAATGCATGAACTGTGGTACTAGAACCCAAGGGGGTTTGTGCCAGTGTGAAATGAGTAAGAGAGGAAACCAAAACCAAAAAAAAAAAAAAAAAAAAAAAAGTGAATCCACCTGATCAACTGATTTTCAATAAAGGTTCCAGAGTAATTCAATGGAGGTATAAAAGTTTTTTCAACAGTGGTGCTAGATCAACTGGAAGTCCATATGGAAAAAAAAAATTAACTTTTACCATACAACATTTACAAAAGTTAACTTGAAATAGAACACAGATCTAAACATAAAACCTAAAACTACAAAAATTCTTAGAAAGACACAGGGGCAAAAATCTTCACAACTTTGGAGTAAGCAAAGATAGAATATATATATATATATGATATTGGATTTCATCAAAACGTAAAACTTTTTCTTTTTGAAAAGTACCATTAATTATGTAAAAGGCTGGGGATAAATATTGGCAATACATCTAGCACACCAGAATTTGTATCCAGAATACATAAAGAACTCTCACAACTAAAGAAGAAGACAAACAACTCAATTTTTTAAATGGGCAAAAAATTTGAATGAACATTTCACAAAAGGAAAGATATATAAATGGTCAATAAGCCCAGGAAAAGACGCTTCATGTCACTGGTCATAAAGAAAATGCAAACCAAAGCCACAGAAAGATAACACTGCACATGCATGAGATTTTCTAACATGTAAAAGGTTGACCATACCAAGTGTCGGCAAGGATGAAGAGGGATGGGAACCTTCATGTAGCGCCAATGGGATGTAAAATGGGACAAACATTTTGGAAAACAGTTCAGTCATTTCTTAAAATGTTAAAATACACCTACCATACCATCCAGTCATTCCAGTTCTAGCCATTGACCCACAAGATACAAACAAATGTGCCCACATTTGAATATGAAAATATTCATAGCAGCTTTCTTTATAACCAAATACTTTGAAAAACTCAAAATTAAAATATATCCATACAGTGGAATACTACTCAGCAATAAAAAGGAATGAACTATTAATATATGTAATAATATGGATGAATCTTAAAATTATTATGTCAAGTAGAAGAGACCAGGCAATAAAGACAATATACTATATGATTCCATTTGTATAAATTCTATAACATGAAAACCAATTTGTAGTGATGGGAAGCAGGTTGGTGTTTCCTGGGGTTGATGTGGAAGGAGACATGAATTTCAAAAAGGTACAAGGAAATTTGTACACAGACAGACATGTTTGCTAACTTGATTGTGATGATGACTTTAAGGGTGTGTACCTGTGTCAAAACTGTTGAAATCGTAAACTTTAAATATACGTAGTTTATTGCACTTCAATTTTAGCTCAATAAAATAAAAAGGAACAAGTTGTAGGAAAATAAAAAGTTTCATCTACCTAATAGAAATTGTGATGAAGGATACAATTCACCCCAAACATCTTTTATTCCAAAGTAACCACTAAAGACAATTTTGGTAAAGTTATATGTTGCATAAACATCCAACCCATGACATAGCTGTGCTTGGGAACCAGTCTAACTAGTGTATCTTGACTTTCAGGCCAGAATTTAAAATAACAAAAACATACACACACACACACACACACACACACACACACACACACACACACACACAGAAAGACAAGAGAAAGCGAGAGAGCAAGAGAGAGAAGTGAGAGAGAAAGACACCACAAAATTCTATTGCAAAGCAAAAATCACCTGTGTTACAATTATTTCCTTCTGCCGTCCTCTGCATTCTTTCTTTATTTGAGGCTGTCATAGTTCTGTCCTATTTTTGTTCAAAAAATAGCTAATCTTTTTTAAATAAAATGATACACCCTTACAGAGTGAAGTATTTGAGCTGGGTTTATATTAATGCTTCAACAAATACCAAGTGTTACAAAAGTTTAGAAATCTTGGGCATGCATTAATAAAGTGAATTCTATGTGCTTTATATTTTATGCTTGGGAAACCCAAACTGAAGCAAAATTATATTTAGTTGCTGTTGTAAAGGTGCCAGACCTGAAAAAGGTATACTCTGAGTGAGGTCTCACTCATGTCCCTAATGTAAGCTAAGTCAAACAATAAATGCACTTAATATTATTTGAGTCACAACAGAGAGATTAAGTTAACAACCAAAAAAATCCGGATTTATATTTTCCCTTATCTGGCCTCTTGGGGCATCTTTTCTCTGAAAAAAAAAAAAAAAAAGGGCTGAAAACCAACAAACTAGGACTTGAATACTTGTTAGGTGTATTGTATTTTTGCACTCATAAAATAAAGGACTGTAATTCTGTAGCTTATAATCACATTTTGTGCTTCTCTTTGTTTCTCTCTCACAATGGTGAATTGTTTATTATGTCACAGGTTAAGCATTATATAGATTTAGGGTGAGCTGACCAATGCTGACACAATATCAGGCTCTTACATCAGAACTTCAGTATTACTACATCTGGCCAGTGTAGACATAAGTGAACACATTATTTGCAAAGACATTATGCTTTTTTCTTTTTGCTCCAAGATCAGCAAATGCCTTGATGCAAATGATGTTATAATCCAGAAGAAGGGTTAGCACTTAGGAAGCAAAATAAGGCAAAAGAAATAAAACAGGTCAGAATGAAGGAAGAAGAAAGACAATACGGAAGCAAACAAGACACAAGATAAACCTAACAAAAATCTAAATTTAAAAAGCAAGCAGACCATAAGCAAGTAGACTCCAAAAAGTAGGAGCATAAATATCAAGAGTTGCACACAAATATAAGCAAACTTATTCTAATTATTTTTTAAAATGGAAGTAATGATAGCCAAGACAAAGAACATACTGTGATTTAAACACACACACACACACACACACACACACACACACACACACGAAACAAGGGAGACACACTGAATTTGAAGCATAGCTTTATAACTTTTTATCCCTGTGGTCTTGGCCAAGCCATTTAACTCTATTCTCCTTCAGATTTTTCTGTTTAATCAGAGTAATAACAACACAATCAAAGGAAAGTTGCTATATGAATTGAATAAGATAATGCTGATTGAGCCCTTAAGACAGATCAAGGAGCATTATATACCCAATAAAGTGTAGATACTTTTATAAATTTATTTAGGATCTATAACAGAGAAAAATCTAATGCCATACAGCAACAAATCAGTTACGCTAAAGAAACATTACTACTACATGTCTACATCAAAAGAATCTATAAAATGTGGCAATAGTCATGTAAGGGAAACTGAGAAAATAGTCCTAATAATCTACAATGATATAGTTCATCCAAATGATTAATGGCAGAGATATTACAGGAAAGAGAAGGGACCCGAAATGAAATTAGTGTTATTCAAATTATTTTCTTGACTTAAAAAAGTTTCAATATAGATTCACAGAGGGCCCAGAGAACCACCCAAAAAGAATCCCTAAAGAAAGATACCACCTTTTTGCCATGTTTTTAAATCTAAAAGATAAAAATCATATTTTACCAGCTGCAAATAAGAAGGTATGATGGCTAATTTCAGGTGTCAACCTGACGGGATACCCAGATAACTTGTAAAGCATCATTTCTGGGTGTATCTGTGAGAGTGTTTTCAGAGGAGGTTGGCATATGAATGAGTGGACTCAGTAAGGAAGCTCTCCCCTCACCAGTATGGGCGAGTATTATCCAGTCTGTCAAGGGCACCGAGAGAACATAAGGGCAGGGGAAAGGCAAATTCACTCTGTCCTCTGGAGCTGGGATATCAATATTTTCCTGCCTTGGACATTAGAATTCCAGGTTCATGGCCGGGCGTGGTGGCTCACACCTGTAATCCCAGCACTTTGGGAGGCTGAGGCGTGCAGATCATGAGGTCAGGAGTTTGAGACCAGCCTGGCCAATATAGTGAAACCCCGTCTCTACTAAAAATACAAAAATTAGCTGGGCATGGTGACACGCGCCTGTAGTCCCAGCTACTCTGGAGGCTGAGGCAGAAGAATTGCTTGAATCCGGGAGGCGGAGGTTGCAGTGAGCTGAAATCACGTCACTACACTCCAGCCCGGGCGACAGGGCGAGACTCCATCTCAGACAAAAAAAAAAAAAAAAAAGAATTCAGGGTTTGTGGGCCTTCCACCTCTGGGATTTACACCAGTGAACACCCTGGTTCTCAGGCTTCTGGACTCCTGACCCACAGAAACGATGAAATAACAAATTCATGTTCTGCGGTAATTTGCTATACAGCAAGAGAAATCTAAAACACTATCCTTAGCACTAAAAAATTATTTATTTTCTCTGATTTTCTTTGTATGAATCTAGTTAGAATGACATTTCATCTTCTGAGTTCTTGGCATAAGTGATTGCTATTTTTTTTGCTTTAAATGAGTTAGAGTGATTAACATCTTCAAGATACATGAAACCAGCGTAGCACAGGAAAACTCGTACCGCAGAGCTAACACAACTTGCATTCATCTAGGCAGTCATTCTGAGCTCACCAGTCATGGAAAGCCTTTGCTTCTCCCTAATTATTTACAAAGTCATCTTGAATTATGAAGGTGTAAATGTAGTAGGAAAAAAAAGAGAAACATGCGTGGTTAAACTAGGCTGACTGAATTTTTATTAGCCTGAAAAATCAGAACAAAGAACTTGGTAGCTTCCCCTAAACTCCTTTTATGGTCTCTAAGTTGTCCACCCACAGAATCTACAAGCCTGACCAGAAGGCTGCTTGGTTCAACTATTTAGTTCTCCAAACTTTGGCGCTATGCTGTGAATCAAAGCCTCATAAGGATTTCTCTGACATACTCTCCAGCTTCTGAGTTTACATATGCCACTTGGGGTGTCTGGGTAATGGGATAATTGTTTCTCATTCTTGAAAAAAACTGTATTTACCAAATGTATTAGTCCATTTTCATACTGCTATGAAGCAATACCAGAGACTGAGTAATTTATAAAGAAAAAGGGGTTTAATGGACTCACAGTTCCACATGGATGAGGCGGCCTCACAATCATGGCTGAAAGCAAAAAAGGAGCAAAGGCATGTCTTACATGGAGGCAGACAAGAGAGCGTGCTCAGGTGAACTGCTCTTTATAAAACCATCAGATCTTGTGAGATGTATTCACTATCATGAGAATAGCACAAGGAAAACCCACCCCCATGATTCAATTACCTCCCACTGGGTACCTCCAACACGTGGGGATTATAGGAACTATAATTCAAGATGAGATTTGCGTGGGAACACAGCCAAACCATATTGCCAAGGATCTCAAATATTTATGAGTTCAAAAAGATACCATGTTTCTGGTCTTCAGAGGGCCACAGCTAAACCATCACAAAATGTAGACACTCATCATATTTTTCAGGCAACAGTCAATTCTGTATAAATCAGGGTTCCTCAATCTTGGCACCACTGACATTTTGGGCTGGATCATTCTTTACTATGGGAGCTGCCCTCTGCATTGTAGGATGTAGGATGCTTAGCAGCATCCTTGGCCTCTAGATGATTGTAGCACCCCTCTTCCCCAGTTGTGACATCCAAAAATAGTCTAGACATCACCCAATGTCTCCTAGGGAACATAAGAGCCCCAGTTGAGAATCACTGGTATAAACTCACCAAATAGGTGGTCAAATCTCTGCATGCATTTGAAAAGTCACCATGGGAAGACTGGGTGGTGACCATTTCTATGTCTATAGCAAGCATCCACCAACTTTTTTAGGATTTTGTTTCCCAAAACACTAGCCATGAGCCACATGTGGCTATTGAACTCCTGACATGTGGCTAGTCTGAAATGAGATATGTTGGGAGTATAAAACAAACACCAATTTCAAGGACTTTGTATTTTAAAAAGTTAAAAGATTTCATAGATTTTATATAGATTACATGTTGAAATAAAATATTTTGGATATACTAGCTTAAATAAAATATATTATTAAAATTAATTATATTTGCTTCTTTCTACTGTTTGAATGTGACTACTGGAGAATTTGAAATTACATAAGTGATTTGCATTATACTTGTATTGGATGGTTCTGTTCCAGGAAGCCAAAGCTCTTTGCATGTGAAGTAATTTTGTTCCTCATTAAGCCAACAGTATTTGAAGAATGCCCCGTGTGTGTGCACCTAGGAATATAGTGGTTGCTTTTCACCCCACCTATATGAGATACATTTATTTATGCCAAGTATTGTCATTTTATTTTGCAGATATAAAAGTAGAAACTCAAAAGATAAATCCCTAGAGCAATTCTCCCAATTGCAATGCCAAAAGTAATTAAATACAACCTATTGCTCCTCATCACCAAGTAGTTTTCAGTCACCAGACATATATGTCCCTGGAATCATAGCATGTTTCTTGTACTATAATTATTATAGAGGTAAAAATCAAATTCCCAATAAAACAATTTTCAGACACCTTAGAACAATAAAGTCAGCATTTGGTAAGAGAAAATAAAAATATTTTTATTTGTTGGGACACTCAGACAGCATTATTTTGTATAATAATTTATCACATGTTGAAAAAAGGAAAAACATTTTTCTTCTCATTTCCCATCACTTTTAGATTCCTTTTGTGAAGACTCATTGTGGTCGATGCAGGCTCCTGACTTTTTATGTATACCTAATTTGCATAATATGCTAGGGGTGCCTCATGGGATACTAAACTTAAGACCAACTGAGTTAATTTACTTTCTTAACTCAGGTTTGAGTGGGCACTAAACTTAAAATCAACTGAGTTAATTTGCTACCTTAAGTCAGAGAATTAGAATCATGGCTGTCCCAATTTTTTCCAAGTATCATTGTTATCATGATCATTTGACTAAGTACAGCTCCAAAATTTGTGTCTACTCTTTCTGTTAGAAGCAGAACCAAAAACACAGTAAGGGAAAGACTCCACATTTTTTTAAAATTGTGAACAAGAGTGAAAGGTAGCAACTATAGCTGAAATTATTAAGTTATGTTAGAGTAGCTCATGATGCAACACTTTCCTAGCTAATACTATAATCTTCAAAAAGACCCACTACTCGTCTAGAGGAAGGCACTATTATATCCCTTCAGATATACCCCAGCTGAGAAATGCTGCATGCCTCCAAACAGTTGAAGAAGACACCGAGAGAAGAGACACCTGCCACTGAGCCCAGTTGACAGCAACCCTGCACGGGAAGACTCATGTCAGAGGAAGGAAGGAGTTAGGAGAAGCCTCCTTGTGCACCTGAGTGCCACGTGCCCGAAAGCAGCATTGTATTATCCCCCCAGAGCATGCGATTTAAGTCAGGAACAAGATTACTGGCATGGGTATGTATTTACTTACTCATACTCACTTACCTAGTCATTTGTTCTCTCATTTTTCAAAAATTATGTGCCAGGCACTATGCTAAATGTCCTGTGTTTCCTGGTGAAAGAAAGTGGCAAGTAGGCAGCAGTAGGCAATAATCAACACTAGACAATTACTAATACTATACTAAAAAATGATTCTCAACTTAAATTTGAATACCCACAAATGGGAGCACTGAGCTATCCGTGTTTTTCAGAAAGTTTCTTCATGCTAGGAGTATTCTATCCTGCTCTTTGTGCTGCAAGTGTTCATGGCCTAGATCTTTCACAATTCAACCATCACATTCAATAATTATTTAATTCAATTTATTTTCCTGAAGATAGTTAAATTGGTCAATGTGTTTTCCTCTTTGGTGTTAATACACAATTCATTGGTATGAGGATATCTGTAGTAACTAATAAAAACTGCTTCTTGTTTTTATTACATCAATTGGAGGTATTCCATTAATTCACAAATTTGATATTTTTAACATCATACATTTAAGGAAACACATGAAAACTTGATGAATTGCACACAATTGAAATTGAATGAGTTATATCAATCCATAAATTTGGTTGTTTCTCACATCATGCATTCATGGGAATGTGTGAGAACTTTACAACCTGTTCCCAGTTGTGATTTGTAGGTGGTAGATTAGCTTGTATGATGTGTTTTTAGTCATGAAAGCATCTGACCAAAACATGCCAGAGAGTCTATTCCTAATCATCAGATAGCTCAGCTGTGCAAAGCCTAACAAGAGATTTCCTTCCACATTTCCTTACAATTCTGACCTCTCCTTTCTAATATCCACCAAATCATTTTAAATTCCATAAATGTTCAAAGAAGCATGTACCCCAAATTAGAAACACTATTCCAGTTTCATTTCTCTAGCAGGCATTTATGGAGGCCAAATTTTACTGTTGTGGGGCTTGGAATTGAGAGTTAGTAATAAGCAATGAAACAACACCAAGCTCAAGTAAGTCCAAGGTAAGATTTGATCTGCAGGCGTGGTGCTTCTTAGAAGTGGGTTCTAGTGAGAAATGTAACTCATGCCAATAAAATTAACTCCAGAATTCAGTGCTCAAGGCTCTGCTACACAAAAATTCCATTTATTGCAAATTGTGCTATTTCCAATTTCTTTTAGTAATAAAATGCATGAATAGCCCAAAAAGGCTATAAATAGTCAACAATGCCAAGAGGTTTTTATCAGAAGCTCTGGTAGAGCGAAGGGACCAGAGCTCTCTGATCTCTTTCTCTCTTCCCTAGGGCAATACTCCACAATAACTCACTAATCATTAATAATTCTTTTGCCCATTTAGTTTCAATGAATACATAAATCAACTATTTACTCTAGGACGAGACATGGGAAATTGTTTGAAGCCAAAATTCTTTTGGGCATCAACATTATGTAAATTATATCCCCTTCTGTTTGAATTCTGAATAAGTGAAAGAAAGGAGGGAGAAAAAGAAAATAAGATTCAATGATAGGTAATTTGTTCTGTACCTGTGTTTATCTGATGTCACACTTTCCTAGGTTGGTTCGATAGTATATCGGTAAAACAAAAGAACATGATACCTACTGACTTTTGACAAGGATGAATGATATGGCTTGTTATCAGGGTGAGCAGTTTTTGTGTTTCCATTTCATCATTTCATTTTATCCTTAAGCTGCTCAGTAGTTCAAAAATAAATTATTTAGTTTAGGTAGACAAAGACAGTAGATGCTATTATTTTATTTACTGTCCTCAACACTATATTAAAACAACTTAAAAGTATGACATTAAATAAACAAAGGAATAAGAGAGATTACTTAAGGTTCAGAATCTTATTATCAGCATCACTTTATTAAAAAAATTAGAAAGAAGATGAAATGCAACTAAAATAATAAAACAAGCAGACATAATACTATCTAATATAAAATATTTAAAGGGTAAAACCATTTGCCCCTTCAAAGCAAACAAATTCAATGATTAAATGACTGATATGACTGATTTTTTTCCATACAAAATGCAAAAATGATATCTTTCAATGCAATATTAGTGTTACAATCTCATTTAGGTAGCTTTTAAAATGCCATCTTCAACAGATCTAACATAGTATAATCCCTTCTGAAAACCCTAAGGCAGTTATATAATATAAACAACTCAGAAAAGTGTCAAAGTTTTATTTCTTCTATCCCTAGGCATTTTCAGAACTTAATTTTCTTAAAAATTCCTCACTATCACCAAATTTTAATGTATGACTGAAGAGTTTTAGAAAACCCTGTCTCTCTGTTCCAGGCAACACTTTCCTTTTGAAACTATCTCTATGTCTACTGTGGTTTCTATAGTGACAATTTTGTATTGGTTTCATTGTTGAGAAGATCTTGGGTAAATTCAATAGGAGTGGAGATTGTTTCACCTTGCCAGTTCGCTTTGAATTAAGAGTAGTGTGGCAGTTAAAAAACAGATTTCCTCTGAAAATAGGATTCCCAATTATGGCTTCCTAGAAATGAAGAGAGTTATGTTATAGAAGAAAATATGTTTAGAATAAATTTGGTGAGTAAAAATTTATATGTCTGTCTTGGAGGAATAATCCCCTCAAAAAAAGAAAAAAATGTATATATATATAAAACATATCTCACATATAAAAACATATCTCATATATAATATATATCTCATAATCTCATAATATATAATAAATATATATAAGTACATATATAAATGTATGCAGTAGAACTTTAGAATCACAGGCTGGAAGATATCAAGATTGTTTAATCTACTCTTGTTAAATATACAGTTACACAAAGAGAATATTTAAGAAACAAAGAAAATTTTTTGCTTTCTGGTGATATGCTTCATAGAAGCATCAATGATACCTACATGAGAAATAAGCAGAGACAGGCATCAAGGAGGAGAATTTTTTTCTCAGTTCCAACACATTGGAGATAAAAATTAATAGGCAAAGTGTATCAAAAAAAACAGATGCTCTGCTGAAAAGGCCTTCAGGCTGAATCGCATCAGCTGGCTTTCTCTGGTGAGGCAAGACTTCAGCGACTCAGAGAATAATTGCTACATACCCCAGTCGAAGCATTTTACTGTACCTGGCTCTATGCTCAAGCAACCATCCATTGATGGGAAGGGGGTTATGTGGGGGCTGGATGACAGACAGAGGATGCATGCCATTTTAGATTATATCCTTTTTAATTCATAGAGTGCTGTATGTCTACTTCCTAAATGAACAGAAGCCTCAACAATTCCTTGCTTTGCTTTTTAACCTAGCAAAGCAGTAACAAGTGTTAATTGTCGCATCTTAGGACTCCAGGAAAAAGTGTGCTGCAGCTCTTAAATGCATAATAGGTGTGCATGTCAACAAAAAAACAGAGCAATCAGAACATTACAGTTGAAAAGAAAATAGAAATGATTAAAACAATCTCCACATACACACAATTTATTACGACATTAACAAAGCAAAAGAATGCAAGGACTTTATGAAAAGTGTTTTACCCTAAGCAATGATATCCTCTTTGTGTCTACCACAGTATTGCCTAGTACAGTGGTTCTCAAAGTATGGTCCCTGGGCCAGCAATATCAGCGTCACCTAGGACCTTGTTTGACATGGGAATTCTCAGACCCTACCACAGACATACTGTATTAGAAACTCTGAAGCCTGCAATCTGTGTCGTAACAAGCCCTGTAGGCAATTCTCTTGCCTGCTAAAGTTTGAGAAGCTCTAGCTTAGTACAGTTCTTGAATTTGAGTGTATCGTAAACACTGTATGCACATTAATAGTTCTGATTCACCAGGACTTGTTCCCCAGAAAATCTGACTCAATAGACATTTTTAATCACACCTCAGGTCATTCTGATCCAGCTAAACAACTGCCCACAATTTGCAAACACTGGCTTAATGTTTAAGAATGTGCTGCTGTTTGGCTGGGTGTGGTGGCTCATGCCTGTAATCCCAGCACTTTGTGAGGTGTGGTGGGCAGATTGCTTCAGCCCAGGAGTTCAAGACCAGCCTGGGTAACATGGCAAAACCCTATCTCTATGAAAGGCAAAAAAAAAAAAAAAAAAAAAAAAAAATTCTAATTTTAAATTTTAAAAAGTTAAAAAAAAAGGTTAAAGAATGTGCTCCTTGGAGTGTGTTGGTGTGGTAAACCATGATTAAAAGCACAGGATGCGGGAGGCTGAGGCAGGAGAATGGCGTGAACCCGGGAGGCGGAGCTTGCAGTGAGCTGAGATTGTGCCACTGCACTCCAGCCTAGGTGACAGAGCAAGACTCTGTCTCAAAAAAAAAAAAAGCACAGGATGGCCATTCATTATCTCCTGGCTGGTCAGCTTCTCTCAGCCTGTTTATCTGTAAATAATAATAATACCTATTTCAAAGGCCTGTAGTGAGAATCAGGTGTCTGGCACCTGATTTAGGTTGATTCTATGTCTTTGCTATTGTGAATAGTGCTACAATGAACACTCATGTGCATGCACCTTTATGGTAGAATGATTTATATTCTTCTGGGTATATACCCAGTAATGGGATTGCTGGGTCAAATGGCAGTTCTGCTTTTAGCTCTTTGAGGAATTGCCATGCTGCTTTCCACAGTGGCTTAACTAATTCACACTTCCACCAACAGCGCATAAGTGTTCCGTTTTCTCTGCAACCTCACCAGCATCTGTTATTTTTTGACTTTTTAATAATAGCCATTCTGACCGGTGTGAGACAGTATCTCGTTGTGGGTTTGATTTGCATTTCTCTAATGATCAGTGATACTGAGCTTTTCTTCATATGCTTCTTGGCCACATGTATGTCTTCTTTTGAAAAGTGTCTGTTCATGTCCTTTGCCCACTTTTTAGTGGAGTTGTTTTTCCTTAGTAAATTTGTTTTAAGTTTCTTACAGATGTTGAATATTTGGCCTTTGTCAAATGCATAATTTGCAAGTATTTTCTCTCATTCTGTGGGTTGCCTGTTTACTCGGTTGATAGTTTCTTTTGCAGTGCGGAAGCTCTTAAGTTTAATTAGATCCTATTTGTCAATTTTGGCTTTTGTTGCAGTTGCTTTTGGTGTCTTTGTCATGAAATCTTTGCCCATTCCAATGTCCAGGATGGTATTGCCTAAGTTGTCTTCCAGGGTTTTTATAGTTTTGAGTTTTACATTTAAGTCTTTAATCCATCTTGAGTTGATTTTTGTATATGGTGTAAGGAAGGGATCCACTTCCAATCTTCCGCATATGGCTAGACAGTTATCCCAGGACTATATATTGAATAGGGAGTCTTTTCCCCATTGCTTGTTTTTATCAACTCTGTTGAAGATCAGATGGTCGTAGGTGTGTGGCCTTATTTCTGGGCTCTCCATTCCGTTCCATTGGTCTATTTTAAAATTCAAATGGAACCAAAAAACAGCCCAAATAGTCAAGACAATTCTAAGCAAAAAGAACAAAGCTGGACATCATGTTACTGAACTTCAAACTATACTACAGGGGTACAATAACCAAAACTATTATTATTTAGTTAAAAAATCATTGATGTCAGTTTTCTATATGCTAATTATGATAACTTGGAAGCCAAATTTAAACTTGAACTTTCGTTTCAGTGATTAAATACAATTGCATTTCAGTATTAAATATAAGGTTGGCAATGTTCTAATTAGGAATAAAAGTATATTTTAAAATTTAATGTATTAATATTGGGCACAAACTTTTAAAAAGAGATCCATTTATTGTTTGTCTTGAGAATGAAGATCTGAGTAATGCTTTAGGTCAAGGACACTGTAAGTCTGTTGCATTGTCTACTGTTGAGTACTCAGGAGTAATTAGAGTTTCATTTGTAGGTCTGAATAAGGCGTAAAAGAAATTCATCTCTAAATATATTTTTAAAAATCCTGATGACCCAGTTTTTACTTAAAATGTTATTTAATACACAAAGTCTGAGAGAAACAAAAGTAAAACTTCACAAATAAACTTCACAAATAAAATAAATCGATGTTTGAGTTAACATATCTGAAACCTAGAATGCTCTGAGAGTAAGCCAACATAGTATAAAACAACTTAAAAGAAAGGTATACTTAAAAAATTGGCCACCATTATGCTTTTGCTGACAACACTGTGTAACTTAGGATACATCAGATAACTTAAGAAAACCTAACCTCATTCTAGTTTAGAAGCCCAAAAATGTTTTAGGTCTGATTTGCCTTCAAATATCTCATATGACAAAATCAGCATACGCATTAATTCTTGAAACATTTAATCCATAAAAAAGAAGATAGTATTCCCCAATTTGTATCTTAAGTAAAATATCTAATAAACTTTAAGAGGCATAGTTCTTTGAAGTTCCTTCTAAAACCAGTCAGAAATCTTACATTGCATGGGTTCAGATATATTTTAAACAATAATATCACAGCACCCACTTCCCCAAAATCTCAAAGCTAAGTCACATTCCATTTCTTTTTTGCAATAGCCTTAGAAGAGTAAGATATAAACAAAGCCTTTCTCTCATCTTTTCTTGGGAAAATTGCAGTCATATCATTCTTTAACATCAGGTCTCAAAATAGGTAAATTATGGCCTTTATTGCAAGAAACAGGTTGTTAAGGTATGGCCCATCAACACTAGATAGTCCACAAGCATCCTTCCGTAAATTTAAAATGCAAGTTAAAAAACAGTTTTTACATTGAGTACCATGAACACAAAGAAGGGAAAAACAGACACTGGGGCCTACTTGAAGGTGGAGGACAGGAGGAAGAGGAGGCTGGAAAAACTACTATCAGGTACCATGCTTATCCCCTGGTAACTCAATAATCTGTATATCGAACCCCTGTGACATGCAATATACCTACATAACAAACTTGCACATTTATCCCCAAACCTAAAATAAAAGTTTAAAAACACGGTTTTTACATATTGAGCAACATACTGAGGTTTTACATTCACAGGCAAAGTTAAAAGTTTAAAAATAAATATTCCCTCAAATCACGTTTAACTTTTATTAAAGTGTTAAGGTAGAGACGGGATTGGATAAAATAAGGGTATAGATTGAGTATAGGCTAATCCTGGGCGAAATTCCAAAGTAAACTAAATTTTCATATTCCTTCTTTAGGTTAAATCACATGAAATTGACATTTTTGTAGGTCCAAAGAGTTGAATATCAGCAATATCATATGATTCAACCTTAATACATCCTAATGCTGTCTCTCTCCCAACCCCTAGGTTGCCTTTCTGTTGCCCACATCCTCAAAACCTCAGTTGTATCACATCACACTGGTCTGCTTTCAAATCCCCCATACTCCAAAATATGTTTTCACCTGCCTCAAGTGAATTCTTAAGTAGAAGAAGTTTAGATGAAGTAGAGTTAAGGAATTTAATTCATGAAGGCGATATTCAGAAATAGATGGCCCTTGCAAGATGACTTAAATCAAACTACATAAGCAGTCAAATTCTTCATCCCATGTATTTATAAAAAAAAAAATATTATTTCCCTGCAACTGGCAGCAAGCCTGCACATTAATGTTATTCAAGCATATACCTATAGAGATTACTCCTCTTCCAACTGAAGTCTAGAACGATTTTGACAATTAAAATATTTATTCAACTCAAGAGTTCTCTGAGTGATTTCTTTTCCTTTCAGACCTATTTCTCTGAGTTAGCATACTTCAAATTAATGAGCCTGTAGTGGATATAATATCTTTGACATCATTCAATTTTATGTTTCCTCATCAGTAATGCAATGACCACATCTGCCATTTTTTTATGTGGATGGCAACATAGCATGGTAACTAGATGCATGGACTCAGAGCTAGTCTCCCAGGGTTTGAGTCCTGGCTCCTCTGCTTAACAGCTGTGTGACCTTGGGTAAGACACTTAACAACCTGTGCTCAGTTTCCTCTTCTAAAGAGATAGGATAATAATACCGATCTAATAGGGATGTTATAAGTATTATGCAAATTTAACTAAATGAGCTACTGTTTATAAGTGCTAGAACAGTGACTGGTGTACCTTTCAATGGTTTTTAAACAAGCCTACAGAAAAAAAAAAAGGCAGAGGACAGAAGGAAGTTATCTATGACTTAGGAAACTGGTCCAGCTCGATCAAAACATTAAGGAAAAAGCTCACTTTTTTTAGCAGAAAGAAGAAAAAACATAACAAAGCCAAAGCCTCAGAAGGGAAAAATATTTCATACAAGTTGAGAAAAAAAGAGAAAAACTGAAGTATGTTGACTCCACTTTCCACTGGGAGCGCTAAGGAAGGAGAATCAACCTGCCCAGCGTTACCTCAGCCCCTTAAGAGAAGCCATAGTCAGGCATAGCAAAGCTACATCTAGCATGACCTAAATTATCATGGCCCTGAAATTTCTGCTTGTGCCTTTTGGGAGTGGGGAGGTGATCAGTGGGTCTGATTGACAGCTTTTCAAGGGTATTGTTGTAGCAATGTGTAAAATGGTCCTATAAAGAAGGATTATCAATCAGCAATGAATAGGGGGTGGCAGGGGTGGCACAGTGAGACAGTACAGTCCCTGAAGAGCTGGCCTGGACCTCATCAGCCTAGCACACTAGCAGGCTTCACCAAGTCAAGGCATTGGAGACCATGAGTTACAACAGATTTCAGCAGTGGACCCAAAGAATACTCAAAAACAGAACCAGACAAATTATAGATGCTGTAGATATCAGCTCTCACGTCCTCAGAGACCAACTCCACAAGATCTCACTATCTTTCCAAACCCCTCAACCCCATACTGAAGACGAGCAGGAGGAAGGGAAAAGGAGCTGAAGGCTGAGTTTTTCTTAAGTGACTGGGCTACCCAAGAGGCTGGTCAAAGATATGGTAAGCTTACCAAATTGAATTCAATATCATTTTCTCCACTTCCTCATAGTGTGGGACCCGTGAGGAATAGTATATTCACTAATATATATATATATATCTTCTTTACAGTTTTGAGTATATTAAAAGTAAATTGGTCTGGCCATGGTGGCTCACGCCTGTAATCCCAGCACTTTGGGAGGCTGAGGCAGGACAATTGCTTGAACCCAGGAGGTGGAGAGGTGGATGTTGTCGTAAGCCAAGATCATGCCACTACACTCCAGCCTGGGTGACAGAGCGAGACTCCGTCTCAAAAAAATAAATAAATAAATAAAAATTAATTAATTAATTTAATTGATCATCTGCAAGAAACACAATGGGAGAATAGCGCGTTGAGTTTTCAGAGAATAATTTTGACTTTTGAAAAACTGTTTTGTTTCATAAAATCACCTATAAGGGAAAGATGACATATAAACAGAACGTTCAGATCGCCAGCTTTGAAGTCTAGTTGCTTTGGTTCAAATTACAGTTCCATCCCTTTCAATAACTTTTCTAGGGCAAGTTATTTAACTTCTTGATGTCTCAGTTCCCACATCTATAAAAATCAGTTATCAATCCTTTCTACCTCAGATAGTTACTTGGAGATCACACATGCACATCCTAATAGTTTCTGTTACATGATCCATTTTAAATAGTATTGAACAGGCAAAAATTTGAAACAGTTTCTGGCACAGAGTATGTGCTCAGCTATGATTAGCAGTAAATATACCATCCAGTAGAATTGTGTCAGTCAAAAGCAAGTTGATGGGGAAAGAGACATTGGTCAAAGGATATAAAATTGTAGATAGGAGGAATAAGTTCAAGTCATCTATTGTACAACATGATGACTATAGTTAACAACAATGTATTGTATACTTGAAAATTACTAACAGATTAGATTTGAAGTGTTCTCACAAATAAATGGTAAATATGTGAGGTAATGCATTTGTTAAGTAGCTTGATTTAGCCATTCCACAATGTATACATATTTCAGAACATCATGTTGTACATCATAAATATATACCATTTTTAGTTGTCAATTAAAAATAAATAAAAAGTTTTTTTTAAAAAAGCAAGCTGATATTTCAACCAGCTAACCTTATTTAAAAAGATTCTTCCAAGCTGTCATTTGACAGAAATATAGACATATTTCTAGCCGTATTTTCAGTAGCATGTGATTAAACTGTTATTTTTAAATTATCTTTTTATTACCTATGTATAACCTATCCATGTACAGCCTATGCATCTAGTTAATATTATTTTGAGCACTAAACTTATGTAATAATTTTGTAGAAGCAGGAAAATTGGGAAGATCTTCCAACCAATTATCAAAATTACTTTATAGAAACAAATGACTCGGGGGATGATTTACTTTGAACTTAACAATGTAGAAAAATGGAATTTTTATTAATTATTTACCTTTGATCTCTATAACAATTAACCAAATGGTATAAACACACTTTTCTTAGGACATGAGAACAAACAGTTTTCAGTGACAGGTGGCTAAAAGAGTTTTATAAACTATTAGCCTTTAGAGCTTTAGTTTCCATTTGCTAAGTTGTTTGTTAGTTCAGTCTTTTGGTAAACATTAATTGTTTGCCTACTCATGTTTGACAATACACTAAGTACATTAGGTTCATGATGGGAGAGGCAAGGAAGGATAGAGAGATATAAAGATGCAGAAAATATGTTCTCTACTCTCAAAGATCTCACAGTCTAGCTCTAGAAATCTCCTATGCATCCCCAAGCTAAAGCAAATGACCATAAAACAACATATGCAACATAATATTGTAAAATATGTGTATATGAGTACTGGAAGGATATGGAATATAGAATTCAGGGGATAGAAATTATTATCTAGAGTCAAGATACATATAAAATGTATTCATTTACTTAAACATTGTACCAATCTTAATAAATATTAATAAAAAGTGGCAAGGTGTATATATATATATATATCTCTTAATAAAATATATATAAGATTGGTACAATCTTAATAAAATATATATATATTTGGTCCTCTGTATCCATGGTTCCACATCAAAGATTCAATCAACCATAGATTTAAAATATTCCAGGAGAAACAATTCCACAAAGTTCCAAAAAGCAAAACTTCAATTTGCCACATGCCAAGTACTATGTTGAAGCCACGTCAATAAAGCAATGTGTATGCCTTGTACTAGGTATTAAAAGTAATCTAAAGATGATTTAAATACAGGAGAACGTGCATAGATTATATGTAAATGCTACACCATTTTATATAAGGGATTTGAGCATCCTCAGACTTTGGTATCCACTGGGGGTCCTGGAATCAATCCTCCATGGGTATACATATTATGACAATAAATTGAGACTCTCTTTTGTAAATGTTTTTGGATCCGAAGCAAACTCCAGACGTGTGGGCTTCATTCAGAAAGACCAAGTGAAACTAGTACTGTGTAATTTATTTCAACAAATCTAATTTCCACTTTCCTTGTTTTTTTTTTAACTATACTTTTACTCCTTAACCTACAATGTACACAATGATGTTATTTGAATTCTATGTAGATATATAAGGTAGACTACGTAGGCTTCATGAGCAATTAACAAGGATAAAAACTGATGACCATACATAAATATTTCTAAATTGTTGCATAAAAAGAGGATCCAGAGAAACTTAATAAAATTACACTATTAATAATCACTTAGCAAATAATTAACATATTCTATTGATTTGGCATTTAATTTCATAGAGCACTGCTGTTGAGACTCTACCTCATCACATGTCCAGTGAGTATGCTACCTTGAGGGGTAACTCATTCCGTTATTTGCTAGTTCTCATTGCAAAACAATTTGTCCTTATACTGAGTTCACATCCCCCTACTAATTTCCATTTAGTTATCGTCTTTAGCCAAACAACATAAGTTGATTCTTCCTAAGATAGTAGCCAATACAATGAACACGAAATAATGAGAATAATTCACATTATAAAATACATACTATATCCCAGGCACAGTGCCAAGTATTTTAAATATGTAAGCATACCTTGAAGATATTGTGGGTTTGGTTCCAGATCCCTGCAACAAAGCAAGTGACGTGAATATTTTGGTTTCCCAGTGCATATAAAAGTTCTGTTTACACTATATTGCAGTCTATTAAGCATGCAATAGCATCATGTCCACAGTATGTTCATGACTCGATTTTAAAATAGTGCTAAAAAATGCTAACAAATCTCTGAGCCTTCAATGAGTCATAATCTTTTTGCTGGTGGAGGGTCTTACCTTGATGTTGATGGCTGCTGATTGATCAGGATGGTGGTTGCTGAAGGTTGAAATGGCTGTGGCAATCTCATTGCCTCATTGATTGACTCTTTCACTAAAGGTTTCTCTGTAGCATGCAGTGCTGTTTGATAGCATTTTACCCACAGTAGAACTTCTTTCTAAATGAGTCAGTCCTTTCAAACCCTGTTGCTGCTTTACCAAGTAGGTTTATGTAACATTCTAAATCCTTTGTTGCCATTTAAACAATGTTTACAGCATCTTCACCAGTAGATTCCATCTCAAGAAACCACTTTGCTCATCTGTAGGAAGCAACTCCTCATTGGCTCAAGTTTTATCATGAGATTCCAACAATTTAGTCACATCTCCAGGCTCCGCTTCTAATTCTAGTTCTCTTGCTATTTCCATCACATCTGCAGGTAATTCCTCCACTGAACTCTTGAACCCCTCAAAGTCCCCCATGAAAATTGGAATCAACCTCTTCCCAAACTCCTGTTAATGTTGCTATTTTGATCTCCTTCTATGAATCACAAACATTATTAATGGCATCATCTAAAATGGGGAATCCTTTTCAGAAGATTTTCAATTCACTTTGCCCAGCTCCATCAGAGCAATGGCAGCTCTAGCATTACAAAACATATTTCTTAAATAAGACTTCAAGGTTGAAATGACCCCTTGATCCATGGGCTACAGAATGGATGTTGCTAGCAGGCAAGAAAAAAAAGCATTTCTCTTCTTATACATCATCAGAGATCTTGGGTATCCAGGTACATTGTCAACGAAAAGTATTATTTTGAAAGGAATTTTTTTTTCTGAGCAGTAGGTCTCAACAGCGGGATTAAAATATTCAGTAATCCACGCTGTGAAGACATGTGCTGTCATTCAGGCTTTTTTTCACTCTTTATAGAGCCCAGACAGAGTAGATTTGGCATAATTCTTAAGATCTCTGGGATTTGGGGAATGATAAATGAGCACTGGCTTCAGCTTAAAGTCACCAGCGGCATTAACCTCTAACAGGAGAGTGAGCCTGTCCTTCGAAGACTTGAAGCGAGACATTGACTTCTCTTCTCTAACTATGAAAGTCCCAGATGCCATCTTCCTCCAATATAAGGCTGTTTCATCTAAATGGAAAATTTGTTTAGTGTAGTCACTTTCTTCAATGATCTTAGCTAGATCTTCGGGATAACTTGCTGCAGCTTCTATATCAGCACTCGCTGCTTTACCTTGCACTTTTCTGTTATGGAGACAGCTTCTTTCCTTAAAACCTCTGGACCAAACTCTGCTAGCTTCCAATTTTCTTCTGCAGCTTCCTCACCTCTCTGAGCCTGTATATGTAATTGAAGACTTAGGGCCTTGCTCTGGATTAGGCTTTGGCTTAAGGGAATGTTGTGGCTGGCTTCATCTTCTATCCACACCACTAAAACTTTCTCCACATGAGCATTAAGGCTCCTTTGCTTATCATTTGTGTGTTCCCTGGAGTAGCACTTTTAATTTTCTTCAAGAACTTATCCTTTGCATTTCCAAGTTGGCTAACTGATGCAAGAGGACTAGCTTTTGGCCTCTCTCGACTTTCAACATGCCTTCCTCACTAAGCTTAATCATTTCTAGGTTTTGATTAAGTAAGAGTCATGTGACTCTTCCTTTTACTTGAACACTTAGAGGCCCATGAAGGGTTATTAACTGGCCTAAATTTCAATATTGTTGTGTCTCAAGGAATAAAGAGGCCAAAGGAAATGGAGAGACACAGGGGAACAGAAGAATAGCCAGTGAATGGAGCAGTCAGAACACACCAAACATTTATTGATTAAACCTGCCATCGTCTCAGGCCTGTAATCCCAGCACTTTGGGAGGCCAAGGTGGGCAGATCACAAGGTTAGGAGATCGAGACCATCCTGGCCAACATGGTGAAACCCTGTCTCTACTAAAAATACAAAAATTAGCTGTGCATGGCAGTGTGTGCCTGTAATCCCAGCAACTCAGGAGGCTGAGGCAGGAGAATCATTTGAACCCAGGAGGTGGAGGTTGCAGTAAGCCAAAATCGTGTCACTGCACTCCAGCCTGGCGACAGAGCTAGAATCTAGCTCAAAAAAAAAAAAAAAAAAAAAAAAAAAAAACCCTGCTATCATATGGGTGCAGTTTGTGGTGCCCCAAAACAATTATAGAAGTAACATCAAAGATCTCAGATCACCATAACAAATATAACAATAGTGGAAAAGTTTGAAATAATGTGAGAATTACAAATATGCAACATAAAAACACAAAGTGAACACCCACTATTGGAAAAATGGTACCCGACAAACTTGCTCGATGCAAGATTGCCACAAAAATTTAATGCGTAAAAAACACATCTGCAAAGTATAATAAAACAAAGCACAATAAAATGAGGTATATGCCTATATCACATTATTTAAACCTCACCATGACCACATAGTGTAACTGATTATTATTCCCATTTTTCCATTGAGAAAACTCAGAAAGACAGCTTAATTGAATTTTCCAATTATACATAGGCAGTATTTAGCCACCAGGCTCTAACCTCAGACAGTCTGGCCTCAGTCGGGTAGTCAGACAGCCTGACTTCAGAGTCTGTGCTTCTGTTCCTTACACCGTATTGCCTCACCTTGTAACCAGAACCATCTTTCATAGTATTACGTGGGAACTATTACAACATGCATTGTTCTTCCCCATGGAGGATCATTCTGAAGATCAGTCTAAATCTGAATGCCATCCTATCTGCCAGAATAAATCAAGCTTTCAAACCAATCTTTTTAGTAGCTTGTGAGGCAGATCACAAGAAATGCTGGAGCAGAGGTGCAACGTAATACAAAAAAAAAAACAAGACTGGTGTCTGAAGGCAATAAATGACAGCAGTTGATTTGAGGACTGCACATATAGTTGATAAGGTCACCTTAATTGAAAACTGATTTTTGAGCAATTGCAGCTGTAGAGTGTAAGAATTCCCTATATAAGCTGACAGAGTCTATAAATAGGAAACGGTCATTTCAGCACAGACCAATGAGATGTGGTGAATGTTTGTTTGACCAAACTTTGTAAAATGTCAGCAGCACTTAGAAGCTGAAAGAATTAAAATCTGAAATGATACAATCCTTTAAGGCACATAGCTGAAGTTTTCACCCAGTTTCTAGTAAAAAGCAAATGGAATCAGTCATTTTCCACAAAGTAGTTTTTATTAGTGGTTGCCTATATACTTATGTTAAAGATAAATGTAGTACTCCCCTTAGAACTAGGCAACCAGTACCCCAGCCCTAGGCCCAACTCTTTAGAGGGGGTAGTTTCTGGATGGGCAATTTCTAGCTACATTTCTCCTTCAGCTTCAGTTCCAGAACGAAGACACAATGGAGGGCTGTAGCCACCCTGCAGTGGACATTTTATATGAGCAAAAAGCAAGCTTGTGTGATTGTAAGTCACTGAGACATAGGGATTGTTTGTTACCAAACATTTCTTAGCTGACTGGTACAAATCAGCATTTTCCAATCATACCATATTCTTTGGAAATATACTTTTAATGTATGCACACTGCACTATTCAACAAAAAAATAAAATTGTTTATTATTAAATGGAAAAATAATGTGATAGGACTATGATTACAGGTATAATCAAATCATTCTATGAACACAGATAAGAAGCACATAATTCCACATCATTCTATATAATTCTACCTGAGAAAATTTTAAAAACAGCTTTAAAGGGGTAGTGTCTTGTCAGATTGTTCCTAAAGATGACAAGGATCTCTGGTGGTAGAAAAGGGAGGCAAGGGCATTGTACACAAAAATGTACATGGACACTTCAGTAATGTCAAGGAACTAGTGCTTGCTTCCAAAGCAGGGACTAGGGAGCATGAATCCTGAAAGGAACCACAAAAGGAGATTCTAAAGGATCTTGAAAAACATTCTAAGGAATCTAGATTATTCTAGAGGCAAGGAGGAGACACCAATGCTTTTGAAGAGAGGTAGACTAAATATATGCTTTTGAAATGCATTTTATGGAGGACGGAACACTGCTTTTAGAGTCAGGGGACCAGTTTCTCCTGAGGCAAATTCACTCATGTGTGAAAGTATATTTCAGAGGTGCTTTGTGTATTAAATGTTATAAGTTAGTAGGTGCCCAGGAAATGATATTCAGATGTGAACTGGCTATAAGTGCAGAGCATGTTTTGAAGGAGAGAGCTGGTAAAAGCATAGCGTCCTGGAAACGTAATAGTCCAGGCAATAGGTAGTGGGTGAATAAACTAGGAAAACAGCAGTGGGGAAGCAAGTAACCAAAAGATTCAGAAACATTCCAGAGATCTAAAAGACAGGACTTGATAACCAACAGGACGCAGGTAGTGAGAATACTAGGAAAATAGAAATGCAATCATGGAGTCCTGCGAGAATAACAAGTGGACAAGTAAAAACAAGAATAGAAACAGAAGGCAATTCTATAGAAGAAAAAACAAATGTCTTGGAAGCTTGAGAAAAATTAAGATCATGAATCCATAGACCCTATTAGGTGGAAAGTAAAGCTGCAACCGTGTGAATTTGATCAATGTCAGTAACATGGGTAATTTGGGCACCAGGAACACTTGTCTGTCCACAGTATGTAGGAGGATAGAGTGAATAAGGGCAGTAATTTATCTGAAAAATATCAGGTTTTTACTTCTAGATTTTCAGGAACGGTAAAAATGAGAATCAAACATATCAAATATCAAACACACTGTGAAGGAGACCAGTATTCCCCATTTTGATTCTCTCTTCACCTACCCCTTGGGGAAGGCGCTTAAGGTAGTAGTTGCATGCATGTCGAAATTACATATACACATATATACATGTGAACACATGCATACAATATATAGACTAATATGTATATACTATGTATCTTTGTATGGTGTATCTATAGTGTAAGATATATGTGTGTATATATGTGTGTACAAGTTTCATTTGTGTATGGCAGTAAAACAAAACAACCTTTGATATACATACGGAAATGTATTATATATATGTATATATACACACACATACACACACACACACATTCACACACAACACATAAACAGACATTCCTTAGTATCCCTGGGGATTGGTTTTAAAACACTCCCTCCACCCCCTGCAGACATCAAAATCTAGGGATGTTCAAGTCCTTAGATAAATAGTGTAGTATTTGTTTATAACCTATGCACATCTGTATACTTTAAATCATCTGTAGATTACTTATAATGCCTGGTACAATGTAAATGCTAGGTAAATAGTTGTTATACTATATTATTTTCACATTTGTATTTTTTTCGTTGCATTGCTGTTTTTTATTATTTTTTTCCAAGTTTTTTCTACCTGCGGTTGGTTAAATCTGCAGATGCAGAACCCGTGGATACAGAGGGCCGACTGTATACATGTACACACATACACACAATAAATTAATATAGGTACTGTATATTGATATGGTATATATGTATAGCCTAAGGTATTTATGTGTATATTCATGTATGTTTAAAATGGCACAGACTCAAGGCCAAGGAATAAAGCGTTTCTCTACTTCTACCTCTCTGTGCCTGCATCAGGGAATGAGGAGGCCAGATTTATGAGACTGTTCTGAGCATCTTGAAGCTTCTATTCCAGAGCAGCTGTGTCCTTTCCACAAGGGAAGCTTTCCCCTTATATCCTAATTGGGCATGAAATCTGACTCACCAGCACAAGTTACAGTGGAGCCGGCCAACAGAGCAGCTGCCTGTGAAAGCCGCTTGAATAACCCACATCCAGTGACTGAAATTGATGTGGGATGAAACACGGGGCTCTGTTAACCTGGCAGATGCTACATGGAACTCAAGTCACCTCAACTCTCACCACTCACTGCAATGAATTGTCCTAGTTTGTTTGTTCTCACAGTTTCTCAAAGGCCAGAAGGGGCACGAGAGCCCACATACTTTTATCCTGGCGGTAGATGTAATGACATAATATTGGCACAGTAACTTATTCTCTTTTTTTCTTTTACTTTTAACTTTTTCTTTTCTAATTAATTTATTTTTTATTATACTTTAAGTTCTGGGACACATGTGCAGAACGTGCAGGTTTGTTACATAGGTATACAGGTGCCATAGTGGTTTGCTGCACCCATAAACCCGTCATCTACATTAGGTATTTCTCCTAAAGCTATCCCTCCCCTAGCACCCCACTCCCTGACAGGCCCCAGTGCGTAATGTTCCCCTCCCTGTGTCCAGGTGTTCTCATTGTTCAACTCCCACTTATGAGTGAGAACATGCGGTGTTTGTTTTTCTGTTCTTGTGTTAGTTTGCTGAGAATGATAGTTTCCAGCTTCATCCATGTCCCTGCAAAGGACGTGAACTCATCCTTCTTAATGGCTGCATAGTATTCCATGGTGTGTATGTACCACATTTTCTTTATCCAGTCTATCATTGATGGGCATTTGGGTTGGTTCCAAGTCATTGCTATTGTGAACAGTGCTAAACTTATTCTTTTTATACACTAACTCATTCTATTAGAAATTAGAAGGTATGCTCCCAGTGAAGAGTCTGATCTCGAGAGTTTGATCCACTGCATATTTGAAAATCAGCATCCTACTAAAACACCTGTGGTTAATGTCCATTATTGGTGAGCCTCTGTCAGACTCTAGGCGAACATTTTGTATTGAAGACAGAATGTCATAGATCTCAAAATCACAAGCTTTGGAATTAGACAGTCTAGGAGACAAGAAGGTCTAACAATTATTGCTGGATAATGTTGGGCAAGTTGCCTAACCTCCCTGAGCTTCAGCTTCCTCAACTGAGGTTGCATATTATTTTTAACACAAAGGTTTGCTGTGGGGATTATTTAACATAGTGAATACAAAGTGCCTGGTATGTAGAAAGGGCTAAATAATGCAAGTTATAAGTATTAACTTACAACTTTTCCTTAAAACCATCACATAATCAAGATTGGTTTTAGGAATACAGTGAGACAACAAAAGAGTCACCTTCATAACACCATCCTCCCTGCTGTCCTAAAATTTCATAATCAGCAATACCTTTTTTAGGTTTGCAAGTATTTCAGTTCTTAAGAATTCATTGACACAAATAAAATGTCTCTTCTGTGAACCCTAGATAAAGAAATTGGCTAATTTGCATTCCAGAAATCTAAAAAAAAAAAATCTGTTCCCAAATATGCCTTTTGCTTGAAAGGAAATCTTGGGCTTTGAGGAAATGGGGTTCAACATAGCTTAGACTGTTAATGAAAATTATTGATTTATATTCCCTCCTGATCACTAATTAGAGTTAATGCAACTTAATGACCCAGCTTCTCTGGAAACTACTTATCAAGACAGAGACACCCTAAGGAGCTGCATATGCTCCTTCCAGACACCACGGTAAGAGAGGGTACTATTGAACAGAAACCAGAATGATGGGGCCATACATAGGGAATGCTGGTTAGTTTGATATAGAAAAGCCTATTTTATTTTAGTGTCAGTAATTGTTATAGTGAAAATCATTTCGACCTTATGAGGTACACAGATATGCACATATGTCTTTATGAAGCTCAATAAGGACTTAGCACTATAAGGAACCTCAAAGAATGTCTAGTCCAATTTCTCTTACAGAGGAAAAGAAGCAGAGGCGCAGAACAGCTAAACAATTGTTCAGGTTCACACAGCTGCTTAATAGCAAAGTCAAGAGTTCTAGTTCAAGTTTCCTGATGTTCTCTGTATCATGTTCCTATGTTGATTTTTCTTTAAAGACTCCCTATGTTGAAATAAATGCCTGTGGTTCCCAATCAGGGATTTGGATTGTGAACATCCAGGAATTCAGGGCGGACATGACAGGAAACTCGGCTCTGTCTGACATGCCCAGGTTATATCCTAATGATTTTCTGATAATCGTTTATTTTCTTTATGTCTTTCTCCTACCGAGCTATGTGAAGAGTCAGGGTAATAAGCTTCTTGTTAACTCAAGCTGTACTCTGTAGTGATGCCCTAATGTCCCGTAAGAGTTAATGCTCCTGGCTGGGCACAGTGGCTCAAGCCTGTAATCCCAGCACTTTGGGAAGCCGAGAGGGGTGGATCACGAGGT
This sequence comes from Homo sapiens, assembly GCF_000001405.40. Taxonomy (NCBI): domain Eukaryota; kingdom Metazoa; phylum Chordata; class Mammalia; order Primates; family Hominidae; genus Homo; species Homo sapiens. The sequence goes on from NC_000006.12 coordinate 10,017,104, forward strand.
CAGGAGATCGAGACCATCCTGGCTAACACGGCAAAACCCCGTCTCTACTAAAAATACAAAAAAAAATTAGCCGGGCGTGGTGGCGGGGTCCCAGCTGCTTGGGAGGCTGAGGCAGGAGAATGGCGTGAACCTAGGAGGTGGAGCTTGCAGTGAGCCGAGATCGCACCACTGCACTCCAGTCTGGGCGACAGAGAAAGACTCTATCTCAAAAAAAAAAAAAAAAAAAAAAAAAGTTAATGCTCCTAATCCCTCTCCTTGCTGCGTTTTCTTGGAACTGTGCACTGTGAGAAAACGTTTTCTGCAAGCACATGTTTGCATCCTCTTAACCAGCTCCTCCTCAGAGGGGATCCTCCTACACCAGAGCTCCTGGAGAACGTTCCATGGGAGTCCCAAGGGCCAAAGCTGGGGTTCCCTAGCTGTGGAGGGGGAGGCAGCCCTTCATTAGCAGAGCCTTCTCTTCTGGCCACCTGCAGGGTATCTGGCTCTTCCTGACTACCATCTCAGCAGGTTCTCAATGTATATTGAGCCCTCATCTTCACCATTATCACAGTGTTCCCCTCCTGACCAACCTTATTACCACCTCTCTGTCACAAGCTAAAGATAAAACTAAATTATAATTGCGCTAGCCTTCATAACAGCATGACCGTCCTGCCTGGTTTGAAACAACTTACGTCAGAAAATAGGGCCAAAGAGGAGCAAGTGTACACAGATAAGAAGGGAGGAGAAACATTGGTATGCATTTTATACAGGGGCCACTGATGTGGACACCATGTGGGGGACAAAGTAGTTATTTGCCTAAGAGCTTGTGCAAGAAATGCACACGCAAACCCACACACACACACACCACCAACACCACCACCACCACTACGAGACATTCCTCATTACATAATCTTAAAGACCAAAGACAGTATTACTTGATATGATCAGCATAATCTCATATAGAAGAATATTGAATCATTACTTCCAAAATTTGAAACAACTCTCATAATTTGAATGATATCCTTTAAAAAGAAAAAACAGCAAAACAAAACTTTTTTCATGCACACCACTAAGAAAAGCATGGGAGCTTAGGGTCATCTATATGCATAATACTGATTTCAAATGCATGCCCTTGGGAAATTCCCCTAGTCCTTTGGAGCAGGTTCTCCAAGAAATTCTGTTCCCTTTTCTAGTCATTCCTTCACAAGCTTCATAAGTGGAATGACAGTCCTCCTAAATTAAGTACTATATACTTCAGGCTAATTTTATGTTTTTTATGACAATAGCAGGGCAGTCTTAGCAGCCTGTTATTTTGTCAGCTTTCTCATTTAGCAAAGCAGCTTCAATTTATTAACAGGGAGGAGTGTGCATGAATCAATATGTTTCATTGGGCAATGTGTCATTTGTTAATCGGATATTGATGAGATTATTGACGCACAGCTAATTAATCTCAAGCGCAGTGCTAGCCTTCATATGTTTCCTTAATTATGTCCTTCATCTTAGTCTCCCGGCCATAGCACCCAGGCTCGGAACTGCAGACAGTGAGTGAGGTAAGCTGTCAGAGGTTCTTTTCACACGTTTACAATCCCTTGGCAGTGAAATTATTTTCTTGGTTGTAAATAGGTATCAGAGAGATATTTAATAAAATTTGGCAGCAGATTGATATTGATTGGTGTGGACTTGCTTCAAATCCAGCAGCCACAGAGTTTTACCTCAGAAGGAGACTATTAAAAAAGAGAATGCTTAATTGGAATTAAACAATTGCATGAGTCAGTTGCCATCTGCCCTCTGGAATTTAAAAATAGTTCTTCTACAGACATCATTCACACGTCCTCAGTTGAATATTTCAGATAATTTTTGCTTTATTTTGTTTTTTTACTTAAACTCTTTATCACCACTTTTCTTAGCCATGGACAGTATATTCATGGGAATAGAAAATTCAGGACCCAAACCTCTGATAGGTTTCAAAAATTGATACAGTCATAATTAAGTAACATGGTTACAATTCCACTGCCTATACCTCTAAGTCCATTAAGCCAACAACAACCATTTTTTTTTTTTTTTTTTTTTTTTTAGAGGGAGTCTCGCTCTGTCGCCCAGGCTGGAGTCCAGTGGCACGATGTCGGCTCACTGCAAGCTCCGCCTCCCGAGTTCTTGCCGTTCTCCTGCCTCAGCCTCCCAAGTAGCTGGGACTATAGGCGCCCACCACCATGCTCGGCTAATTTTTTGTATTTTTAGTAGAGACGGGGTTTCACCATGTTAGCCAGGATGGTCTCGATCTCCTGACCTCGTGATCCGCCCACCTCGGCTTCCCAAAGTGCTGGGATTACAGGCGTGAGCCACCGCGCCGGGCCAACAAAGTCTACTTTCCCATCTGCTTCAAGTCTTCCTGGACTTCTCAAAGTATAAAGCACAAGTTCTAGCCCTGTTCATTAGCTCTGTCACCCTTCTATATGTGACAATCGTTCTGAGCCTTAATTTACTCATCTGTAAAATGGGGCCAGTGATAGCTGACTTGATTAACTCTCAGGATTGCTGTGAGGATATGTACTTGTGTGAAAATACTTAGGATGTCTAGTATGCTATCTGATTACTAGACGTTATTTGTGTTGGTATAAATATTATTTATCAGAGTTCCAGAGTTTATTTCAAACCGGTTAAAGCAAAGTACTAGCCTGTTATAATTTTTAGCTTATTACTATAATTAGCCTGTTACTGTATTTATGTCCATTTATTAATTCTTTACATAAGGTTACATGGCATAGTGTAGCAAAAAGTGAGTACAGCAAGCTCCTTTAGCACTTCAACAAGTCTGATTTAAAATGTAATTTCCTAGAAGTATGGATTTTAATAAGAGGCCCTCTTGAAATGTTTCAATATGTATCCTTGTAAAGCCTCCTTGTAAAGAAAAGGGTATTTAAACAATCAGCGTTTTGAATCCGGATCTAGACTGAAAGGCAATACGTGAATTTGCCAGCTACTGTTTCCTCATAGGGAACATTAGACAGTGACCCCTTTTTTCTTCCTAACTTTAGACTACTGTTGAGTCTAACAGGAACAATTTCAATACATACATGATTGTTTGACCAAAAAAAGTTTCTCTGTCTCCATGGTGTGGGTATACATGGGAGGATTAAGATGATAAAAAAATAATTTAAGAGATGAAGATTAAGAAAACAGAAAAGGAATAGAATGAGAAAGACATGACCCAATGAAAGTTGTCCAAAAATTCCCGTTCTTATAGCACTGCACTGGGGAGATGTGTAAGGACGTTAAGGGTTTCATTCAGGGCAGCAAGTTCTTCACTAAATATTGCTCTTTTATTCTGCAATTAGAAACTCTGCAGAGGGAACTAAATGACTATCAGGACATCACTCATATGTTCTTCTCTCCAGCACAGGGCCCTGCACATAGTAGGTGTTCAATTTTTTAAAAATTGATTGTGTCTATCTGGACATCTGGGGAAATATTGTTGCTCAGGAAATGAAATGGTCAGTGTTACTAAAAGCAATCTTGGGGTGACTTCAGGTGTTTTACTCCATGTCATTTACGTAGATCAGGGGAGAGAAGAGAGATGTCATCAGTAGCGTCATGAATATAGCTTTAATATCATTGTGTTAACTTGAACTTCTCTCCAGAAGGCCAATCAGATACCCTGTTAAATGTTAATGTTTCCTAAGCCTCATGGGCATGCCACCATGGTCTGCTCTTCCCACTCCACACTCCCAAGAGTGGCATTATTCACACCCTAGCTTCAAATTCCATCTATATGTTGATGACACTCAACCTTACTTCCAGACAATTAGCCGGGCATGGTGGCAGGTGCCTGTAATCCCAGCTACTTGAGAAGCTGAGGCAGGAGAATCGCTTCAACCCTGGAGGTGGAGGTTGCAGTGAGCCTAGATCACGCCAATGCACTCCAGCCTGGGCAACAAGAGTGAATCTCCATCTCAAACAAAACAAAACAAAACGAAAAACCACAAAAACTTGTCTATGAAATACCAAACCCATGTTTCTATCTTCCTCTAGAAAATTTCCACTTAAATTTCCTATAAGCAGCACAGAATCTTTCTCACTCACCTTTTTTTTTTTTTCTTTCTAGCAGTCAGGCCCCTCAGCTGCAGGTCTTCTGGAGTTTGCTGGAGGTCCACTCCAGACGCTGTTTGCCTGGATATCACCAGCGGAGGCCGCAGAACAGCAAATTTTGCTGCCTAATCCTTCCTCTGGAATCTTCCTCCCAGAGGTGCACCTGCCTGTATGAGGCATCTGTCGGTCCCTACTGGGAGGTGTTTTCCAGTCAGGCTACAAAGGGGTCAGGGACCCACTTGCAGAGGCAATCTGTCCGTTCTCAGAGCTTGAATGCCATTCTGGGAGAATGACTGCTCTCTTCAGAGCTGTCAGACAGGGACATTTAAGTCTGCAGAAGTTGTCTGCTGCCTTTTGTTCAGCTATGCCCTGCCCACCTTTTTTTCTTTTCTTTTTTTGAGATGGAGTCTCACTCTGTTGCCTGGGCTGGAGTGCAGTGGCACTATCTCAGCTCACTACAACCTCTGCCTCCCAGATGCAGGCAATTCTCCCACCTCAGCCTCCCAAGTAGCTGGGATTACACACCTGCGCCAACACACCTGGCTAATTTTGTATTTTTAGAAGAGAAGGGATTTCACCATGTTGATCAGGCTGACCTCGAACTCCTGATCTCAAGTGATCCATCCGCCTCAGCCTCCCAAACTTCTCACTCATCTTTAATCAAACACCAATTCCTACCACTTTGACATCCTAACTCTCTATCAAACCCTCTCCCTTTTTCCTCGCCTTGGTCAATGACCTGTGTCATTTTCCCCATCCCCTTCATGCTGTCTGGCCTGGAATGCTCACCATCAGAACCAAGCCTACTTGTTCTCTGGTCTCAGTGTAATGTCACTTCCTCTGGTACATACTCCAAAACCCCACCCACAAGTCTGGGTTCTATACAAAGGTACTCTCGTATCATCCCAAGCTAATCGTATCATACAACTTTTATAAAAACCTGTTTATTTGTCTAGAGCCTTTAGCTGCAGTTTCCTTGAGAAAAGGAACTGTGTACTTGCTGTTCTTCCCGTTCACTATTCTATGTCCAAGCCTAGCAGAGTTCCTCGAATATACAGGTATTCATAAACGCTCACCAAATTAACTTCACTCTACTGGGATGTGCTCATTATCTTCCCACCAGATATATGTTCTTCCTTTAACTTCCTTCTATTTTGGTTAATATACTCAGCTGTCCAATCATAAACAACGCTTTTTAAAAATTTCTATTTTTCTCCCATTTAGTAGTTGGCTAGACCTTTGTACCAGGCAGGAAAATGGATTGTTAAATTCTCATGAAATATATTAGCCGGGCATGGTAGCACGGACCTGCAGTCCCAGCTACTTCGGAGGCTGAGGTGGGAGGACCACTTGAGCTCAGCAGGTGGAGGTTGCAGTGAGCTGAGATCATATCACTGCACTCCAGCCTCGGTGACAGGGAGAGACTGTATCTCAAAGAAAAAGAGAAAAATTAAATTACACAAACTTAAAATTAAATAAATTAGATTAAAAAGGCATTAAATGGTTAAAACTCATCACCTCCTAATTATTTTACTCCAGTTTACTATTACCTATGCGCTTGAGATCATCCTGCCCCATTGTGTCTGGTGGAAATACTATATAATGGCATGCGGCTGTGTGTTCAGTAGCGACAGTGTGTCTGTAGCTTGAAATCGAACATGGTGACAATGTTTACACCATAAAAAATCAACAAATGCTACAAACCTGCAATTTACCTTTTCTTTTGGAGAACCTGTTGTAAAGCATTTAGACCAGCACTCTCCCACCCTCACTGATTGTGATACCTGGCCTGGCCTCGTGGCCCCTGGTTACACAGTGGGCCCACCACCTCTGCCTTCCCCTCAAATTAATTCTCCACACTTCTGCAGAAACACTTTTCCTACAACATAAATATGATCAGGTCACTCCTCTACTTAAAAACTTACACTCCTGCTCAGCATCTACATAGCCAAGACCTCACTCCCTACTATGGTTTCTAAGGCCCTTCAACAGCCCAGCCCTGCCTCTCAAGCCTCCTTCCCACCACGCCCTTGACCATTCAAGGCTCTGGCTATGTTGTACCTCCTGCAGCTGTGACTCTTTAACCTCTTCTCATGCTGTTCCTGCTGCCTAGGCTGCACTCAACTACCTTGTGTGTTTGGCAAACTTCTGGACGTCATTTGAGTTTCAGTTCAAATACCTAATCCTTGCTAAAGTGTTGCCTGACTTCTTGTCACTGAAGAGTTCCTCTCCTGTGCCCTCACCATCATCATCCTCACACAGCAATCACAGTGCTTATAATGTTCCTGTATTTTGGGGTTTTCCTGTGTCTCCTCCACCTCACTGAGTCCTTCAAGGGCAGAGACAGTGTGCCTGTCATCAGGCATGTCATATGCTGAGTGTTATTGAAGTATTGGCTGAAAGAATAAATGAATGAATGTGTGGGAGTGAATGAGGCTACAACCACTCACTAATAAAATGAGTTTTTCAACCATGATGGTCATGGAGATGACAGTAATACCACAGTGGCCAAGACATTAGTGATTCCTTATGGTAGAGATCATCCAGGGACATCCCACAGGTCTACTGAGGTACAGGTTTTGCCCTCTTCCTATATCATGTTTTCATGGAGGTCAAACCAGGTTTAAATTAGCCACAAGAATCTGAAATAGAAAATAGAGTCATAGAATAGGATCTACCTTCTTAGGCATGTATACAATAAGAGAGTGTAATCATACTTGCTTTGTTCACTGACAACAGAAAATTTACAGCCAATTCTATTGTGGCTTCAGATTGTTTACTACAACGACCATTTCTTCTTTCATGACAATTGTGTCTCTTAAATCAACAGCAATATGACTGCTAACATAATTCAGATCCTCAGTGAATAACCCAATTCAGTGTACCTACAATAGTGCACCTGTTTGTTGTACACAAGTTGCCTCCTGCTAAGTTTTATTTCTTTCATCTGCTGATCTTATTCAGCAGATCAGCAGATATGATGCTATGATTAGCAGATTCTCTCTGCCAATCTAGGACTTGGACCTCACTTTCATTCCAAAAACCTTCCTCTTGTCAAGAGGTGTAGCCAATCTGTTAATTCTCTCCATGAAAAAAAAAAAAAAAGCGAATATCAGAAACTCCTAGTTTTCCTTTTGCAGTCTCACTGGTCAGTTGACAGATAATATAAAACATTAACAAGAAATGTATTCAGGAGATGCTCCTTAGGTATGCATTTTGGTTCATTCTGACCCCAGCAAGGATATCAAAGATGGCCCAGACAAAATCAGACTCGCGTAACTCCACTGCAGAGAATCTGAGACTGAACTCAAAGAAAAAGCAATCACAGATCTATTATCTCCAAGACTTTCCCAAACCCTAGTGAGATAATCCGTAGAAACCAGCTACAAATTCACCTGCAGGCTACTGATCATAGATCCTACAAGCAGGCCGTACCAGCCATTCTCAGCTAACTCTATGTAAGGTGGCTGATAATTACATGGTAATCTAGAAATGGCTGATGGTCAAGATGGGTCTAGTTCAGATCACAAATGACCTATTTACCATAATAGAGAGGAAACTGTGGTTATATGCTAGAATTCATACTTTCAAACAAGTAGAGGGAGATAAAATTTAAATAATGTAGCCAAGAATTGAACCAGATATAGATATACACATATAAAAGCAAACACACACTATTAACACTATTAACAGATGGTTATCTGCTTCATTCTAGTGTTCTAATAAGACCATAATATTGGAAAAAATTATAGTTTTTCTTCTAATACCAACATAGTATAACAAAACAAAGGAGAACAAGAACACATATTGTAGGTATTAGCAATCTAACTGGCAGCTGTAATATATGAATTAGGCCAATTTAGAAGGAGCTAGGCAGCTCCTTCTTTTTTTTTTTTTTTTTTTTTGCAGCTCAAATAACTCGTGAAAGATTCTAAGAAGTCTTCCTCATCACGAAAAGAATAATAATTTTTGTTAAACCAAGCCTAGACATCAATATAAATGATAACAAATGAAGAATGTTAGGATTTACTTAGAATGACATTAATAGAAACAAAAAGTGGGCCATAAATGTAATATTAAATTTTCTAGTAGCCACATTTGTAAAAGGATATTTTAAGTTAAAAATAATTTTAATAATATATTTTATTTAACTCAATATTTCAAAATCATTTAAGCAGGTAATCAACATAAAAAATTAACAAGCTGTTTAATATTCTTATTTTGTATGAAATCTCCAAAACCAGGTATGTATTTTACACTTAGATCATATATTAGTTTTCATTGAAAATATTGAGCTGTATTTATTTAGTTCCAGCTTCATTGAGATATAACTGACAAAAATTATATATATTCAAAGTGTAGAATGTGATGACTTGTACATATACACTGCAAAACGATTACCACAATGAAATTAATTAACACATCCATCACCACACTTGCTACCAATGTGTGTGTGTGTGTGTGTGTGTGTGTGTGTGGTATGTGTATATGGTGAGATCGCTTAAGAGATACCCTCTTAGCAAATTTCAAGTGAACAATACAAAATTATTAGCTAGTCACCATGCTGTACATTAGATCTTCAGAACATTCATCTTATAACTGAAAATTTATACCCTTTAACCATTTTCTTCACCTCTCAATAAACTGTATTTAGATTTCATGAAATTTAAAGTTGAAAACGTAAATTCACATAACCATGTTTTTCCAATAATCTTACAAGTTTTTAGTAACTAAATCAAATACCAAAAAATCATTTTTCTACAGTTTTTATAACTAAATTAACAAAACTGATTCCTCTCTTTTGGAAAGACTTATTTGTCTTGCATCAGAAGCATATCAGTTTCAGAATCATGTCTGTCCAAGTTGAGCAAATTCACTAACTCTTGTGTCAACTCAGTATTATTAACATTGACTTCAAAAATGTATTGCATAAACTGAAATGCAATTTTAAATTTGTCAATACCAACAAAGCGTTCTACAATTTTCTTATAGTTTATTTAGCCAATTTACACAATGCTGTTGATTACAATTAAAATATTCTGCATATTGATTTATGTTAGAAAAAAAGTATAAAATCATTTTTACTGACCATGAAGTCGTTATTATTGATTTCAACGTAAATTCTTAGACTTGCCTACTGAGATCACAAATAAGCTTTTCCTTTCTTAGAAGCTTTAGATATGGCTCATTTATATGCAATGTAGTTTGGTGAGAAAATATAAATCACATTGCCATTTTTGCTTTTTTAAAAATATTTGTGGGTATATAGTAGGTATATATATTTCTGGGGTACATGTATTTTTGCTTTTGATTTTTGATATTGAATACATTGAGCATTCTTTTTATTGGAGTTAACAGCACAGTAAGTCTTTGTAAAATTATTTCATGATTCCACCAATGAGCACCAGAAAAGAACACAAGATCATTAAATTCATTGCCTTCTGTCTCTTTCCAAAGTTGCACAAACTGGAGATAATCCCTGACATTTGCAAATCTATATGGAATGATTTTAGTAACCATATCCATGACAGTCTTCACAGAATCGATTTCAGAAATGTTTGCACAAATATACAGTGAAAGAAATAAGGGAAATAGTATTTTGCTTTAATATGCCAGCAAAATTTGATTTTTTATCAAATACAGTTAGAACACTGTCCATCATAATAAAAAAGCTAATATTTTAATATCTAGGTTAAATTCTTTGATAGATGTAAGAAGAAAAATATAAATTTTAAAAGCTATGAATTAACATTTATTTACAAATTTGGAAGTCCTTTGAGACAAAATGTAGCAAAGTATTGAAAGGGCAGTGTCTCATATCACACAACTCATCCAAAGCTAAAAAATAGTACTTGAAGTTTTTAAAATGTTGAATAAATTGGTCTTTAGTTAAGTCTTATATTCTACAGACAAATAATTATTTGGTAGCTTAACTGAAGACCTTTTACTTTGTATGAAATATTGCTTAGCCTTATCCTCATAATATTCTAACAACATTTCCATAACTAAAATAATAATATATTTTACTCTCACTCCAGCTAGAAGTGGGGTTTGTGGGTGGTGTTGTTGACAGAAAACTTCTTATCAAATTCGCTATATGCTTTCTGAATATGTCTCTTTATGTTTCCAACTTTGCCATCTTAAAAATTTGTTTATACAGCAAAGAAACCAGCTTCTCCAATTAGCTCTGCTGCAGCAAGTTACAATTGCCATTCTTGGTGAAACTGGTGACACACCTTCTTCTAATCTAGAAGACTAGATCAGTGATGTGTTTCTGTGAAACAGCCCACGTGCCCAAAAGGCTCACAATACAACAGTAATATCTTACACAATTCAGCCATTCACAAGAAATGTATTCCTACCAAACAACGAAGTTGTGTTTAGTGGAAAATAGTCTGCTCTACTTCCGATTTCAAAATTGAATTAAAATAAATTGCAATTAAATAAAACGTGAAATTCAATTCCTCAGTAGCACTAGCTACATTTCAAGTTCTCCATTCTCACAGGTGGCTGGTGGCTACCTACATATTAGATACCTAGAACCTTTGATGATTCAAGGTAGAAAGCAGGGAGGGGAAAAAAGGAAGAGCGGAAGGTAAGAGCCAGTTCTTGGTTTAAACACTAACTGTAGTTAGATTAAAACAAATGTCTTTACTCAAATACTCATTTAATGCAGACCTGGATAAGCTCAGAATATATACTAATGTATGCCATTTCAACAACCACAATTTAAAATAATTGTCAACTATCTTTTAGTTACGTATATAATAGTAGGAATAATTTATAATGTCAACATATTGAACACTGTCCATTTTTCCACAATAAAATTGGAAGTGCACATTTGAAACCCATATGAAAGGCACTAGTTCTTACACCAACTGGCCTACCAATCCTTTAGAGGTCTCACAGGAAGCTCAAAGGTGTTATTTCCAAAGTTAACTCATCATCTCTAAAAAATCACCCTGCTCCTCTTCATGTGCTCCTATATCCAGTATCTAGCACAGTGGCTGATACACATTAGAGCCTTCAACAAATCGCTGCTGAATGATTCAATAAGTGAACTTACTTGCATTCGTAAGCTGAAGTTCTTAAGTACTTATACAAGTTGATAAACTCAAATTTTATACGTTTTAAGTATATACAAAAAGTTACCTGTCATTTTAAATTTATAACGGAGGGAAAGGGAAAAGCTTATAAAAATAAATTCCACAGTAAAGTCAAGAAATCTGATACCAACAATTGCATACCACACTGAAACTGCAAGCCAATCAGATAGAGTTCTTCAACACCATTATCTTGGACTATCTATTGCCACAAAGATTAAATCATTGCTTACTTTTTTTGCATTTATCATATTTTACAGCGTAGTAAGAATAAGTGAGAAGGGACCTATGACCTCTACTTTTGAGATAATTGGCAGTGCTTGTTGAAATTTGGTTTCAAGTTTAAAAACAAAGACTGGATATCATTAATTCATGGAACTGATTATTTCATTCATACCGAGAACCTCCTCAATGTGATGGGTATAAAATGCCAGAAAAAAAAAAGGGAGAAAAAAGGGTTTCTTTTGAGAGTAATGAAATATTACCCTGTTCTTTTAACCCCATTTTCTGTTACAGTCGGCAACCAATGAAATGAGTACGGGCCAGTCTCAATGAACTGAACCACAAGTTGGATTTCTTTGACACATTAAAACTTCAACGTGCCTTCAACCATACTAAGGCATTAGATTTTCTCAAAACTTTTATGAAGAGTCTAGGACAGACATAGTTAACTTCTTCCATCTAACGGAGAAACAAAGACACAAGATGTCAGACATCAAATAAATCATGCAATTAGATGAACACAGTTTCAAAGAATTCAGATCTCTTCCCTGAAAGGCTAACACTCTGCTGGACCCCATTTATAGCAAAGCCTAATATTGACAGATTCTGTGGGGACAAGAGAAATTCTCACCCAAAGTAAAGAAAGTTGAGGACAAAATGTGAACCTAGGGAAAAAAAATGAGTTTGAGTTGCTTAGAAATAGTGACATGAGAAGGTGAAAAGCAGATCTCAGAAAGTCCAAAATAATTCTGTTGCTGGCAGCACTTTGGGACTTTTAAGCACCTAACAATATAGGAAGGGGAAGGAAAACGTGACGTGACCCAAATGAAACGATTTCACTTAATGAATTTGGACAAGCCATGTTTCCTCAAAGCATTCCATTAACCATGTTTTGTCCCATCGCTTATGTAAAAATATCGTATTATATAAGTGCCTACGTTTAGACATGTAGATAATTAAAATAGAGGTTTAATGTCCATTTGGTTTTACAAAGTTATGACATTTCCTATACAAAGTCAGGGGCTTATTTCCTCCCTAATTCATTTGGTAACTTGCCTTGATGGTAATATGAGTTGTGTGTTTTAAGATATTATTTGTTTAGCCTAGGGGTAATGTAAATTCTAAAATTTAACTCTAACGATCTGAATAATAACACACTATATTTATACATGGCCAACTTACTGCCATTTATATTTTGTTTTCTCTATACTTTTGACTAGAGTATTGGGGGAAAAATGCCCCAAGAAGAGACCTCCAACGAACAATTTTATGTGCACAATGACTACTACTGGCTTCCTACAAGTTTTTTCTCTGCATACCACTGGATACATTCTGTATACCCAACATTTGAAAGTAGTTTTCTATTTTACATTTTCTTAATTCTAATTAAACAAATCTTAATCTTGACTTTAATGGCTGCAATTATGATACTTCATTATGTTAAATGTTAGTTGCAACATAAGAATAAATTGTATAAACAGTTTAGCTGCAATTGCATGGTGTCTAACTGTACATTACTCATTAACAAGATGTGGGTAGCAGCAATTATAACATTTCCTCCTAATGTCCCCATTTATTGAGTCTCAGCAGCAAGCCCCCTTTCACATCGCACACTGATTGACGATAGCAGCTTTTGAGCTCATGGAGAACAGGCACTATAACCCGCTGTGTGCCTCCAACTCAAATCGATGAAAGTACACATTAGCTCTTAGCCTCACGGGCCGGAGTTCTTGAAGGTCAAAATAGCCATCAGCATCACTGTAGGGTATAAAAATCATTTCACAAACTGTGAACAAAAACAACACAACTTGCTTTGCAGTTTGATTATTGTTTATAGATACAGCAAGCCAAGAATTAAAGCATAGCCTTGGGGCAGCATAATTATTTACAGCTGAAGACTCATATCATTATTAGCGGTCTCCTAATTGCTTGAAGTTATATCAATGTTAGTTGATTTAACACATTTCTTATAACATATATGGAAATTGTTTCCTCTGCATATGGAGTGTCAGTTTATCTGGGAGATGGTTTCTTAATTTATCAAAGTTTTTTTTTCTTCTAATTGTTCTTTTTTTCTTTGAAGGAAGATTTTCCCTTAGCCATAAGCAGGGAGAAGAGTTGAAGCTGAGCTTTAATTTATCTACTGTATCTTAATGCTAGAAATACTAGGATCATTTTTGTTTGCTTGTTTTCATTAAAAATTGAATCCATAAAGCTACAACAATATCTTCCATTGGAAAATGTATCAAACTTTCCTCCAGATGGTTCATACACACCTTTTCTTCTTAGGTACCTAACCTGAAATTTTAACATTAAGAGCACAACCACGTAGCTCATAAAAGTGCTAGTGATGTTGAAGTCATGAAAATCTTCATACATTGTAAAATGTCAAATCTTGATCCATTGGTCATATATTTTATATATGCATAAGGAAGATAAAGCTAAATATGCAGCTATAATATAGATGAAAACTTACAGTAATATTGAAGAAGAAAATTAAAGAGAAACATTCAGGTAATACTGTTGTGGGTAGAGTTTGGAATTTGTAAGGGTAAAAATGAACTCCTATTTTTTACGGTATTCTCTACCTGGATGAAATTATCCTTTTTCTGTAATATATTTTCTACCTATAGGTGGCGACACTTGTACTGTTTCCTTTTGAACTGTTCTTTGTGCCTGGGAACAAATGGACTGCTGCTAGGGGAAGACAAGAATTGAACTTAGAGACCATGGTGTCAAAGCCTTTCAAGGCTAGAAAAGATCTTAGGACCAAGTAGTCAATTCCTGCAACATACGATATCTGAGAAATAAGGCCCCAAGAGACTCAGCTAAATGCCCAAGATCACACTACCAGTTAGTGATAGACCTGGAAAAATAAAGAAACTAGATTCAGAAATAATAACCTGAGACAATCCGTAAACATAAAAAATAAACTCTTAAGCAAAACATTTGCAAAGTATCACGTGGAACTCTATCTCCACAAAGTGGACTTGGAATCGTTCCGATAAATTATGTGTATTTAAACCTAAATCCTAGCGTTCATTTTTTTTTCTTCCTTCACAATAAATGGCCCTCCAAAGTATTATGATAAAAGAACTAAGGTCTCTTATTTGAGAAAATGTAATGTTTATTAAAATGCTTCCCAAAGGGAAATATCAATTTAATGGCTAATGTATGTTTTTACAAAATTGATCACCACTTGCAGATATGAAACTGGAGAATATCTGAGAAAATTGCTAATGGGGCCTATTGTTTAGAAGTACGCCAAAGCAAATACCAAAGGCTTTGATTCTGGGTTACAAAGGTCACCCAGAAATCTTATGAAATTTAAGCTGTGATTGTTAACCTGCTAAAAGTTACCACGTTACTTAACACTTGTGATCTTATCTAAGAGACATATGGTATAAATATTTCCAAACATTTCTAAGAACAATTTTGTTTTATCAAAGGGAATATTATTTAACAATTCTCTTTACTTTATGGGCCTTTAGCAAAACTCTTGCTGCTGCCTGGAAGAAACAGAAAACCTGAAAATGGTATTTTAGATTAATTTAATTTAGATTTCCTTTGAACAAATTACAGTCTCTACAGCAACCCTGGTGGATTGCGTCTGGAATCTGAAGCAGCCTTGGTCCCAGGCATCCCATGAACACCGTTCTGTAAAAATGGAAAGAACTGATGAGGTGCTGAGCGACTAGCAGAAACTTCTTATCACTGTGGGTGATGTTTAGTTCTGGAGCCATCGTCTTTCCTAAGAATTCAACAATGGCTTCCCTTCTCCAGACAGAGATTACTTTAAACAGAGAATGGTAAATCACGCATGGAAAGGTCATTTTACATTGAATTTTGTGAAGTATGCCTTGATATATATTTTCTGTTTCTTACATACTTTTCTTCTTGGTTTATTTTATCTATATTTAGAAAGATATAAAACAATCAAAATTACTTAGATGGAGAAATAAAAGCTGTAAGGCAAATTAAAGCTTATAATTTAGTATTCTCACTAAGATATCACGTTAAAATATTTTTCTTCTCAAAGGTATATCCATATTTTTCCCAGACTGAAAAATTGATTTTCTTTCTTTCGTTTTTCAGAGCCACCCAGCTTCATTTTACTTTTTAAAAATGTTTTTAGTGCCACCTTTCACTTGTATAAATTACGCATCTCAACTTTTACCTTTAGGTTTGGGGTAAAATAACTGCTTTTTGTTTGCCATTGGCTAGGGTCTTTGCTTTATACCACTTGATTCATAGTAGATACTAAACACGTTCATATTTTTTCCATGTCATATACTAAATAGGTGCAGTATAATGTTACCTCATTTTCTCACCTATCAGACTTATTATCCCACAAAAATCTTACGTTAAAAAAATCTCTTAACTGCAATAATGGTTTGATTGTGGTAACTACTGAGGGATTGAAAAACTACTGTTCTTTCGGCCCCATCTTTCATAAAAATGTCTCATTTTAGGAAACATGGGTGTAGTCAAGGTAGAAAAAAAATTTCCTTGTGGTCTATTGCATGGAATCCAATTCTTAAGACATATAAGATAAATATTTACTTTTTTAACTGTGTTGAAATAACTATCATCAAATAGTGGTTGCAAAAAATTGCAGTGTATACCTCATGTTCAAATAAAGTCCAGGTTTTGCATTTCAATCCATCTCTCCTGCCTCAGTGCTCCCTTTCAAAGGGACCTGAGACCCAGTGCAGAAGTGGGTGGGGAAGGCTGAGCCCAGCAGGGTGAGAACGATGAGGTCTCTGTAGGTTACAACATCTGCTGGGCAGATAACATCTGCAGATAATGACAGGGCAGGGGTGAGGGGTAGAAAGGCCAAGCTATGCAAAAGCGGCAGAGCATGGGGGAGGGAGGGGAGCTGTTGCAAGAGTTCCTGGCATCCACTATTTCCCACTGAATCATTAATCGGCAGCCTCACCATTTAACCTGTGTGGATCGCAGAGCGGCATGGTGCCCTCGACAAATGGATATTGTTTAACTTCTCTTTTCACTCGAAGAAAAACAAGGACAGTGATTGCAATGACACTGGATGTTTGCGCTGTTTGATAAGTGATGACTAACACGTCTACTACTTTTAACAATTTTTGCTTTCCTCTCCTAACTGGAGCTATGTGGCACTGAAGTGAGAGAAAGCTAATACAGTAAATGGAAACCGCTGTCAGTAGGAACCAGATTAGTCAATCCTTATAGCAAAAGTGAATTTCAGATAACAGCTCAAGCATGACCACTCTGATCACAGCCTCCTGTTTATGTATACAGAGGAACAATGAAGTGCCCTGGCAATTACTGCAAATACATTCCTCAAGCTTTCAGGCGATGCCAAGCTTAAAATTGTGGTCAACTGAAGTGGCAGAAGCAGTATCAACTCGGAATTCATTGTGGCAATTGTAATTAAGTCACGTATTTTGTCTCTCTCTATCTCTCTTCATGCTAAATGTATAGATATTTAAACCACTGTGGACATACAAAACTATAAGACTGCAATTCTCTCTGGTAGAATGTTTTCACTTCTGCTCATGGAATTGAACCATGAAGAGGGAATAAAGTGACAAACTCTCTTATCCATATAGGGACATTGCATAAAACCATGCTAATCTTTCCAAAGGTTTTATTTGTTACTTAAAATGTTTGCAAACCTACAATTGACAAAAGTAAAAAAGCAGAATTCATGCACAAATAAGAAAAAAAGTTCATTAGTAATAACGGCAAATTAAGATAGCAACGGATACCTTTTTCACCTAATAACTTTAAAAAGGTTCAAGATTATGCCCAGTGCCCATACTGTTGTGGAAAATCAGGGTTAGTTTATTAACAATCATAAGAAGCATTAGGAAGCTGTGGCTTCAAGCTGCCTGGCTTCATATCTTACCTGCTGGGTAACCTTGGGCAAATTACTTAACCTCACAGCACTTCAGTTTCCTGAACAGAAAATGAGGACAATGATTCTATCCACTCCGCAGTGCCATTGTGAGGACTAAATTTTAAAATGCAGGTAAAGTATTTATCCATGTGCCTGCCATTTGACATAAACCAGCTATTATGTCTATTAACAGTGTGTTACATCTTGTAGGCATTACATCACTGGATTCTCAAGCATAACTGTGTTATGGTTGCAACTACATCAGAATGTGCCTATGACTATAAGCAAAGATTGGAAGAAAAATCATGTAATTAAAAATCATCAAGGCCAGGCCCAGTGGTTCACGCCTGTAATCCCTGCACAGGGAGGCGAGTGGATCACCTGAGGTCAGGAGTTGGAGACCAGCCTGGCCAACATGGTAAAACCCCGTCTCTACTAAAAATATGAAAATTAGTTGGGCGTGGTGGTGCACACCTGAAATCCCAGCTACTCGGGAGGCTGAGGCAGGAGAATCACTTGAACCCAGGAGGTGGAGGTTGCAGTGAGCCAAGATTGTGCCATTGCACTCCAGCCTGGGCGACAAGAGCGAAACTCTGTCTCAAAAAAAAAAAAAAAAAAAAAAAAAAAAATCATCAACATATGATGAGACAATTATTTTTTTTCAAAAATTCCTTTACATCAATATATTGCTTACAAAAAGGAGACAAAGTATATGTGCAATTATCTTTGCGAAACATTTACTGTATAAACTTTATTTCCTGATAGACTAATTAAAAAGGAGGGGAAATAAATAGCTTTAGAGATAAATAACCTAATAAATTAAGTCTTATCTAAAGCACCCTAAGCACTCTTCCCCTCAAAGAAATATATATATATGTGTATATATATGTATATATAAACACATATATATGTGTATATATATACACATATATGTGTATATATATACACATATATATATATGTATAGCCAGTTACAGGCTTGATCTGGTTAACAAATTCAATTTTTAAGGAGCAAATATCTTTTGGCAGATCTTTCCTACTAGTCATTCACAAGTTAGTATGAATTATTTAATCTGACAGGCCCATATCCAGCTGAGATCAAAGGCACTCAGTTGACAACATTTTTGATCAAGAAATAAAAGAAGAATTTCTTATAAATTCTTGGAATTTGAAGGGCGATAGTGTTGTTTAAAAACAAACAAACAGTGAGGAATTTTGAACAGCCAGAAGCCTTTATATATGCTATGGTACTGTTTGAGCATGTCATCGTATACACAAACCTCTTACCAACAGAAATATAAAAATAAATAAATGCTTCCACTCTCAGTGACCCTCTTCAACAATTATCTTCCCTCTAACTAGTAACACTCTCTGATATCATACACTCTTCATGGATTTCCCTAAAAATCTTTTCTTCAAAAGCAGTGAAGGGCCAGACGCAGTGGCTCATGCCTGTAATCCCAGCACTTTGGGATCTTCGAGGGTGGATCACGAGGTCTGGAGATCGAGACCATCCTGGCTAACACGGTGAAACACTGTCTCTACTAAAAATACAAAAAGTTAGCTGGGCGTGGTGGTGGGCACCTGTAGTCCCAGCTACTCTGGAGGCTGAGGCAGGAGAACAGTGTGAACCCGGGAGGAGGAGCTTGCAGTGAGCCGAGATTGTGCCACTGCACTCCAGCTGGGCCACAGAGCAAGACTCTGTCTCAAAAAAAAAAAGGGCTAAGGAACTCCTCTATCAGGCAGGATTGAGAGAGGTTAGAAGGACAGTCAGTGCATGGTTCCTGACCCCGGAATCAACCATATGCATTCATCCCAGAACTTCTGCAGATGGACCATGAGGGAGGCTAACATGACAACTTTTAAAATTTTTTTTGCCATCTAATGTTGAATAACTAATATTAGCATCAGTCCAGGCTAGTTACATTTTTTAAATACATAAACATGGAGAGTTTATTGGGGTCAAGCTTAAGGGCTGCAACCTGGGAGCACTGATTTAAGTTGCCCTGAATCTATGCTCCCAAAGCCAGTTACTTTTTTCCCAACTAAACATTGTTCTCCACTTTATAGCTTCTTGAATTATCAATGGCTGATATTTCTAAACTAATTTCCACATGTAAAGAAAAGTGAAAGAGTTTGAAAAGCTATTAAGATTTCTGATTACGGAAAATACCCATAAGTAATGTTCCCAAAGTAATAAACTCTTGAAAAATATGGAGAGACTCTTGTTAAGAACACCACAAGAGGGGAAATTAGAAATAGGGAGGTGAAGCTTACAAACCCATCCCAAAGGAGGCTGCCTGTGCAAGTCGCTTCTCCTGACCACCACGTTTTCTATGTAGGCATTTTCTGTCAGTACATTTACTTCTCAAAAGTTTTTGCTTGTTTCTCCTCTGATATACATAGAAATTTAGCTGTCTGTGGTAATAAATATCATCTCTGTCATCCACAGCCATCAATAATCATAGGAATTTGTTTTCATTTCATATGGTTGTGATGAGCTTTCAAATTTAGCTCCAAGCACGCTTCTCTTTTAAGCTAGATTCAGATGCTGGAAGACAATAATAACCACTAACTATTACTTTAACAATATCTGAGACATAGCGATTAGCCCACTAGCTTACTAGTTATCAAACACTGTACCATCTAAGCCAGAGCTTTTCATCTTCATTCAATATCCCACCACTCTACTCAGCTTCACCAAACATATATAACATCATAATCTCATCTTTCCAGCCGTAAAACCAGTGTTTTTGGATTTGCCACTGTCTCTCATTTTGACAGCCATGTGTTGACCACATGTTAATTATAGATTTAAAAATTGTTTCAATCTTTCCATATTCATCTCTTATTATTTCTTTACTTTTAGCTAATTGGCACTAACTCTCCAATGATCTGCTAAAATACTACCTCCCACTCTCTCTGGATGTCTTTCCTTCAGGTCTGCTTGCTACCCCCGTGTGTACGTCTGTGCAGATGAAGCCTATTGCTACCTCTGTTATCCCCCAGAGTAAAGAGGAAGAACTTTGTTTCATTGGTTCTCATGTCTCTAGCACAGTAAATAAATGTGTTTCTCAATAAATGTTTGGTAATTTTTCATTCAGGTGCTCAATTACTGAATAAAAGAAAATCTGCCCCCCCCCCACTTTATTTCTTGGAGAACCTCAATGTACTAACTAGTTCTCAAGTGTCCTGAAAAATTACTGTGGACGTAGCTTTGAGAGTAATGGAGTTAGAGTCCTTTAGGAACAGGGAGAATCTGCTAAAGAACTATGCCTGACTGGGGTGGTTACACTAAAATTGTATTTGGAGTAGAGAAGAGTTTCATATGAGTGGCAAAGAACACATACCATGCTGTTTCACTTATATAATGCCCCTACAACCTTTCATCCACTCTTTGTGTTTCTTATTACATTTAAACATGTTATCATGCTTTTGCTCCCCTCATCTTCTCCTGACTTGCACCTCACACCTGGCATGTTCCACATGCCCCACTTAGTCAAGTTCTTTTGTTTCCATCACTCAAACAACTTCTGAAATCCTATTTCCTCTATTAAGCTTCTGACTAATTAGAAAAAAGCTAGCAATTTCCCCTTAAAGGGCTGTTCCCACAACTCCCTCTCCACATGACTCTGTCCTGGGAGCCCTGATTCCTCCGGAAACTGATTCATTCCTCTGAAGATGTCTGCTTTATCTAGAGGGTTGTTTTTATCCAAAAAGGTAAGTTCAAAGAATAGAGGGAACTTTCAAAAGTACCTTGAAATTTTCCCTGGAAAAATGGGGCCTTAATAAATGCTTTAAGTGAAAATGAGATGTTACAACTCTCAAATTGAAAATTTCTTTGACTAATGCTTACCTAGAGTCAATGATTCAATAACATAGTTTTTCAGATGAAACACTCCTGATGTTTTCATAAGATATTCCTGTTGATAAGGCAGAATTAGTAGTTAACTCTCTTCTTAGTAACATTGTCTAATGCCATTAATTTGTAAAGAACAGAGATATCTGGAACAACAGAGGTTAATCTACTGAATTAGGAAGTTTCGTTCTCCTAAAATATGTATTTCTTACTCATATTATACAAATCAGGAGACTAGGACAGATAATCCAAATCAAAAATTTTACATGTGATCTCACATCAAATCCCAAAACAAAAGCTCATACCCCTCAGGCTTTCAGACTTTCAACTTGGATACATCATCTCATCTCAAAGAAGTACACTAGGGTTAAATGCAGGAGGAAGAACTCATATAGGTCTTATAATGTCTCCTTTCTATTTTTTGATTTCTGAAGTTGGAATCACCCAGCATCAATACAGCTATCAAGACTCTAAAGTTGTAGGGCATTTTGTCTGTTCAAAACACAATTGGATCCATAAAAAAGACATAGTTTATTTCAATGTCTTTTCAGCACCTTTCCTGAGGACACACCTTTTTTTAACAAGATGCCATGATTCTGTACATCTACAAATGCAAACCACTGACATGCATTGATACGCTGTATGAATGCTGCTTTGATCCTCTGCAAAGTGTTAAGAGTAACCAGAAAGCAAAAGGCAAAATGAATGGAGGAAAGCCCTGAGGAGCAGTGTTTTATAAATCAGAATTTCCATGCAATTTATAGATGAGTTCACTGGGTACCATGTTAGAATATGAATGCAGAGCAAAGAATCACCATAATTTGTAATTTTTATACCTGAAGTGTGCTATATAAATCATTCATCTGAATGTTAAATGTTGATAACTCCTACCCATTTTTGCATAATAAGGCATAAACTCCCCTCATTTAAGCTACTCCTTAATCATGTATTACGTGATATTTTTGCAATTGTATTTCAGGCCACAGGATAAGTACAATGAAGTATATTAGTACATCAAACACCAGTTCTACAGTTTCCAAAAAAACCTAAGTGTCAATGAAAGAGCAGTCACTGGCATTTGACATCATCTGATTCTAAAAGTAAAATGTCCATCCTTCAAAGACATTGGATTATGTTGAATTAGTGGGGTTTTTGTTTGTTTTCTACCAGCCATGGTAACTTTTTATATTGCTGTTTCAGAAATTTATGAAGTAGATATCAGTGTGAGTTGAAATCTTGGTGAATTCAATTGATACTGATATCTACTTCATTTAACCTATGTTAACATTACCCACCTTTTTGCTCCACTTTTTTTTTGATGAAAAGCATATAATGAAGTGAATTCAAATTTGTATATCCAGTTATAATAATAATTGCTAACATTTAAAAAGAATAGGCTATTTGGCATATACAATGTTAAGCAGATTATCTCATTACATCCTCTGAACATCCCTATAAGATAAACACTATCATCAGCCTCATTTTAGAGATTGGAGAAGCAAGACTTAGAATAGGGGAGTTACTTGACCTAGGTAAGCTAGCAGCAGGAAAAGACAGAACTACTTGCATTTATACAATTCTACCTACCAACCCATACTTTTTTGCCCCTACATTCTGTCACCTTCACGGTTACACTTTAAGAAAGTCGGTAAAAGGCTTGCTTATTCAACACACCATGCAAATAAACAATATATCAAGAATAAAGAAGCACAGTATGATGTTACAAGTACAGGCCCTAAAGCTTGGCTTCAAAAAGAAAAAAAAAAAAAAAAAAGCCTTTACTACTTAGGAGCTTGGTGACTTTCAGGCAAGTTATGAAGCCCCTCTGTACCTTAGTTTCTTCATTTATAAAGTTCAACAATATTAGTACCTCCCTGTTATAATGGTTAAGGATTAAATTAGTTAATATATATAAAGCACCCAGAACAAGGATCTGTACATAATAGGCGCTCAATTCATCATTTATCTTTTACCTCATAGACAGAAGCTGTCTTAGTTTGTGTTGTTATAACAAAATGAGAGGTAAAGCCAGCTGGACTTCTGGGTTGAGTGAGGACTTGGGGAACTTTCCTGTCTTACAAGAGGATTGTAAAACGCACCAATCAGCACTCTATGAAATGCACCAATCAACAGGATTCTAAAAGTAGCCAATCGTGGGGAGGTTTGAAAAAAGGTAACTCTGATAGGACAGAAACGGAACACGGGAGGGGACAATAAGGGAATAAAAGCTGGCCACCCCCAGTCAGCGGTGGCAGGCTGCTGGGGTCCCCTTCCACGCTGTGGAAGCTTTATCCTTTTGCTCTTCACAGTAAACCTTGCTACTGCTCACTCTTTGGGTCCGTGCCATCTTTAAGAACTGTAACACTCACCACGAAGGTCCACGGCTTAATTCTTGAAGTCAGCGAGACCCCAAACCCACCAGCAAGAACCAACTCTGGACACAAAAATACCACATACTGGGTAATTGACAAAGAACAGAAACTTATTTCTCACAGTTCTGGAGGCTGGGAAGTCCAAGAGGAAAGTGCTGGCACTTGGTGTCTAGTGAGGGCCTGCTCTCTGCTTCCAAGATGGTGCCTTCTTGCTGTGTCCTCACTTGGTGCAAGGGATGGAAGAAAGCAAACCCACTCTTTCAAGCCCGTTTAAAAGGGCCCTAGTCCCTTTCATGAGGGTACACTTCTCATGCCTTACTCACCTCCTGAAGACGTCATCTCTTAAGACTATAACATTGGCTATTAAGTTTCAGCATATGAATTTTGGGAGACACATTGAGACCATAGCAGAAGACTACTCTGTTCTTAGGAAAAAAAGGATAGTATGTCCAGGTAAAATCTGATTCCCTCAAGGAATATGGTAACTTCTGGGAACCAATTAGGCCAGAGCTACTGTTTGCTCATTTAAAATCTGATGCAAGTTTTAGAAGCATTTAAATGATTCTAGAATGTTGTAGGAACCATTATAATGAGCAAAGGTTTTGAATTCGAGAGCAGGTGCTCTCATCTTTCCGAGAGTTAAGGCTGCTTTAAGGATCTGATAGAAGCTACTACAGGTCTTCTTCAGAAAAATTCAAATATTCACATACAGGTAAGTTTATGCCTATAATTCCCAGTATTCAGAGATTCCTGAAGCTCATGGGCCCCCATAAAGAATCCCTGTCTCAGAGGAATATGTGGGACAGTAAACCCATGTTCTGTGTCTTTACTAACCAGTGGAATGATCTTGAAACGGCCTTTCAGCATCTGTAAATTAAATATTCTTATTCCCACCTTAAAATATGAAGATTGGAGCAGATGGTTTCTAAGGTCGCTTCCACTTCCAATTCTACAGTTCTAACTTCTGAATTACATAACAAGTTCTGTTAACCATCCAATTTCAGTAATTTTTTATTCTTCTCTCTAGGTTTCTTAATTAATATTGATCTTGCTTTAGCTAGTGCTGCCAATTCTAAAGAAAATGGAAAATTACCTTAATCTTTATAGACACCTTGTAGATTCTGGATTTATAATTTACTGCCCAATTTTGTCCAAGTTTGTGTAAATGAAATTTACATATTTATATACTCTATCAATTACTTCATTATTAATGTGCAAGTCATGACCTGAGCTGCCTACAAATAGAATGAATGGATAGTAGTTGAATTCTTCCTCAAAATTCTTGTCACTCTGGAGATACTAGTCATCGTTAACCCCAAACTAATTTACTTCGTAGACTAAAGAGGGGGAAAGAAGGGAAACTACCCACTATTTATTAGTCCAGGATTTGACTATTGATATATCACAGATTGTCCGCGTGGATCACCTAAGTTTTCGAAGGTCAAAGTGCAGATACTCTGATTAAAAAAAAAATACTACTTACATTTGTATAGTCCTATACATCTGCAAAGTCCTATTTTGCACATGATCTCAGTTGTCATATCACCTTTTTATTTCTTATTTTACTTTTGAATAACTTTGGATTTACAGAAAAGTTGCCAAGATAGCACAGAGTTCTCTTATCCTGGTAATTTACCTAGCTTCCCTAATGTTACTATCTTACATAAATAACCAATACATTTGCCAAAACTAAGAAATTAGCATTAGTACAACGCTCTTCACTACACTACACACTTTACTCAGATTTCAACGATTTTGCTACTAATGTTCTTTTCCTGTTCTAGAATCCAATTCTGGACACCACATTACATTTGTCATCTCTCCTTAGTCTCAAGCAGCCTGTGACAGTTTCTAATCTTTCCTTGTTTTTCATGACTTGGCAATTTTGAAAAGTCTGGATCAGGTGTTTTACAGAATGTCCCTCAATTGTGTTTGTCCAGTGTTTACTCACGGTTAGATTGAGTTATGTGTTCTGAGGAAAGAAAATCACAGAGATGAAGTGTCCGTTTCATTACAGAATCTCAGAGGGCATGTAACATCAGCATCACTTACCACTTGTGATGTTGACCTTGATCACTTAGGTAAGGTAACATTTGACAGTTTTTCACACTGTAAATTACAATTTTTCCTCTCTCCTTACTTTATTCAATGGAAGCAAGTCACTAAGTGAAGGCTTATTCAAAGGGAGAAGAATTAAGCTTTAACTTCTAGAGGTGTGTGGTGGTGCAGGGGGGTGCATCTATACATATTATTTGCAGATATAACCACCTTTCCAAGCATATATTCCTGTTTCCATTTGTATAGGTGAAGACAGAGGCTCAGACTGACCAAATTACCCAGCTAGGATAGTTGAGCTAGTTTGCAAAATCAGCTCTTCTAATTCGAAATCCATTCATTTTTCCACAAAACCATAGCATCTCTATTTAAGTAGAGTTGTTTTTCCCGTGTTTTAGGGGGAGCCCAGCAATATACACTTCAATGTTTTACTTTTTTTTTTTTTTTGGTAACTGAAATACCTGACACCATTTTAATGTAGCCAAAACGTGCAGTGTGGTTCCCAAAATTTCCTGTGAGGTATATCATGTGATGTGAGAAAGTCTAGCTCCCTCAAGATCCCCTATATTGTCATTCTAGGCACTGTTCAGCCTCCTATCTCTTCAAATAGGTGTTTTTCTACTATAAGATTATCCTATCAAAATACATCTTCTTATAACATCAATAAAAGGAAGGATGGACCATTGTAGACCTTGCCTTAGATAAAAGAAAGATTTGTTTGTCCTCAAACTCAGTTCGTAACCTACCGCAATGCTGATCCACCAAAATGGGCTCACAGGCCTTCGTGGAGTGATCGAATTGTCTGAACAATCCAGGAAAATTGATAAATGCAGATTGTTACCTGCCCCATGTCACCAGGATCTTCCACATCACTCTGGTTGTAGACACCAGGCTGGGTAGAGCTACCTGCTGGTAATGATTTCCAGTCACATAAAAGGGAGGCCAAATTGTAACAGGTGACACAAAGGGGAAAGATTCTGTATCACATTACTAATTCCCAAGAGCTAACCCAGGTCACTGGACTTTCCTCGTGTGAAGTTCGGGAATTTACAGACATTTTAAAATTAGCATTTCTCCTGGCCTAATTACTTGTCTTAACAGTCAGTCAAGTAATGTCTAATAAGCACTCCCTGGCTTGTGGTGACTCACTAAGCCTATAGGAGACTTAATCCAGAATGACAGGGTCCCCGCCTACCAGGCACTTACCATCTAATACAAAGACAACAGACTCACACATAAGGGGAGACATTCCATCCAGACACAAAAGTGAGGGTTTATTCTGTGTTGGCTGTGTTTGGGGTGCTTGGATTTTGTTGTCTACTTTAGGGGTGTGTGTGTGTGTGTGTGTGTGTGTGTGTGTGTGTGTGAGAGAGAGAATGCAAGATTCTTGAGATGCAAGATTACAAGCACTAAAACAGTTACGGAACTAGGGGACAAAACAGAGTTCGCTGATTATCAATTTAAGGCTTCACTATTAAGTTGAATGGATTATCCCCCTAGGTGCTACTGTGCATTATGGAGGTTTTACAAAGTGGAAGCTCCAAAAATCAGACTTAACATGGACTGACCCCATGTATATCCCCTCACACCCTTCTTCCCTGTGTGTTTTCTGCCCTCCTGCACCATGGCCCTTGTCCTGCAAGTATGTTTAATGTGCCCTAATATGTGAGTCCCGCTCCCTAAAGAGGCCATAGTCAGGATTTGGTGTTGCTTTTGGTAAGGCCGCCATGCTTGTTAGTTCATTTCTTCTCTCTCCTTGGCTAAATGGTAACTACTAGCAGTGGAGTCAGAAGACTCACTTATCTCTATGGGATATTTTATCTCTCTGCCTCCATTTTCTAATCCATAAAAATACAGATAATACTCATGAGTTTATTGTGACAATTTTAAAAATTAGCTCCCCTCTCAAACATTTTATACACTGTCAAACACTAATCACACATAAGGAATCATTAAGGTTTTTATATATGACCTTGATTTAGTTTCCAATCCAATGGTAATCACCATTTTAGACTCTTCAGAAATTATCTCAAGTTGGGACTATATGTTGAATATTCTCATGAATTAAACTACTGATTTCCAGAGATCTTTAAAATTGATATGCTAAAATAAAAATAAATTACATATTATCAAATGTGTATTAATAAAAGCCCCAGGAAGAGTCAACCTGTTAAATCAGAAAATGCATGAGCTTCTTTTAAATCATTTTTAATTATAGTTGAATAACACAATATGAACTTTACAACTTAACCATTTTGAAGCATACAGTTCTGTGCAAGTTCACAATGTTGAACACCTACCACCACCATCCAACTTTAGAATTATTTCATCCTCCAAAACTGAGCTTCTGTATGCATTAAACACTAACTCTCCATCCTTCTCTCTCCCCACCCCTTAGCAATCACCATTCTACTTTCTGTCTCTATGAATTTGGCTGCTCTGTGTGCCTTTAATAGAAGTGGAATTACAATATTTGTCCACTGTGACTGGCTTATTTCACTTAGCATAGTCCAAGGTTCATTATCCTATTCAAGTATCCATTTTGTAGCATGAAACACATGGGGTTTTGTGCCAGGTGATCCATAGCTTGTATTCCATCTCTACCACTTAACCAGCAAAGTGAAAAACTAAGTGGTTTAGTCAAAAATACTACGGTTATGAAAATAATTTGGCCAAAACAGTGAACTGAACTTGTAAGCATACACAAACACACATACACACACACACACACGCACACATACCACAAAATGCCAGAGTACCATACTTAATAAAACATACTGTTTGACTCTGTAGTATTAAGTAAAATAAAAGCCCCAGGAAGGGTCAATCTGTTAAATCAGAAAATGCATGAGCGTTTTAACTCTGTTAAACGCAGTTAGTCCTTTTTTGGCTGCATTTGAAGAACCACCTGTTTATTTTTTATTTCCACTGTTGTGTGATTCTTAACAAGAGGCTATCACAGTTTTTCAAGGGTTTAGTTCACTATTTTGGGAACATTTCTAAAATTCTGCTATACTTTTAAGTAATAAAAGAATGTTTCATATAATCAGAAACAAGATGCCCAGTTGGAAAAAAATTGATATTGACTTTTATGATAATAAAAGCATCACTGAACTTAGATTGTAAAAGAGGAATTAGAACTTGTCATGCCAAAACTATATGGCCTACATGAGAAACCTCTGGAACACATGAAAATAGATAACCTATGTTTCCTGATCATTTGATCTTCAAGTATAAGAGATTTTCATGCAGCAGAGATGCATGCAAAGTTTTGTAACTTTCATTAATTTTTAATCATTTTCTTTTTTCAGAAAATCTTTGCCCTCCCATACACAAACTCTCTCATTTTTGTTTAGTTTGTTGTTAACTCATTTCAGACAAGTATGCCTTCTTTTTGTTTGTGTTTTCTACTTTTAAAATTTTATCTGTAGTAAATATTGCCTTTGTGATGAGAAGAAAGAAATTAATGATAATTAAATAATGTTAAAAGATAAATTTTCTACTAGCCCTACTTATGTGGAAATGCTCCCATGAAGTTTCTAACTTGAAACTTGAACAAAAATGATGCTCCCAGGCATATGTTCACATTTCTCTAACTCATCTGCCTAGTGAAAAGGAAGAGAGGTAGAACATGATTAATAGAAACTTCAGTTGTTTCAAGTTTTTTCTGTTACTAACAGTACAAAGCAAACATAGTTACCTAAATATGAATTTAAATGTTAAAAAGAAAAATATAAAGGAAAAAAATAAATATTCTCAACCCTGTTTATGTCACATGTGCTATATTTTTAATTAGGTAATTGTACTTATTTATTAAAAGTTAAATCTGAATGCAAAAAGAGAAAGTTCAACGATAATTGATTTATCAGCACCCACTGAAATGAACATGTTTTCAATAAAAGTAAGTCACTAGGAAAAACTGTTATCAAGTCAGTTATAAGTGAAGAATTTGTCAAAACAGGGCAAAAATTAAAATTAGGAAAAAATAAAATCTACATAATTTCTACATTATCTTGTTCCACTTTAAAGAAAGATAAGCTGGAAATAATAAATGAAGCTTCAAGCTTGTGATTTATGCAAAAAGACAGAGAGAGAAAGAGACGGTGGGAGGGGGGGTGCAAGAGAGAGAACTTCAATCATGGCCAACAAAAAATAGTATTTTTATCTCAGTTGACTCATTGAAGTTTGGATGCTGTATTTTATCTCTAGGAAAAAAAGCATATATTTGTGTGCACAGTAATGTTCTTGAATAAAGAGGAACACCAACCAAAATTTTTCTTTTTCCTTCTCCCCCTCTTTGTCCTTCATCTGTGTCATAAATGATACAAAGAAAACTGAAAGAATTAGGGAATGTGACACATGAATAAACCTTACCTGTCAGGTATGACTACTGAAATAAAGATTTGGGAATCACTGCCTTAGAAAACAACTTATAATCAACTCTGTGCATTTAATGGCTTATAGAGATGAAAAAAATCAATGCAGAACTGCTGATTTTGATATTTTAAACAAATAATTGCAAACAAGAATTTTCGAAAGTTCATGAGGTAGGAGGGGATCGAGGGGAAGCAAACTATTCAAAGTAGCAGGTGAGAAATCTCTACATAAAGTGGTTTCACTCTTTTTGGGTTTTTCTTAAAATAAAACAGGACCTCCTACAATTTTCCAGACAAAGAGAAAGTATTGACTCCAGAGTGCACAGGCCTGTGATGTACTAAAAGGGATCCTCTTGTGTGTGCAAGTTAATTCCATTAACAGAAGTGTTCAAGTTATCACAGAAAGCAGTTTGTGCACTGCATAGATCTGGTTCAACAAATGTTAAATAATAGCCCCATTCAAAAGAAAAGGACAAATATTGGGTGTGTGTGACAAAGGTTCCATTCTGTGTTAATTTTAGTCGATGAAGGTATGTGGTATTTATGCTCATCTCTTTAAGTCAGACTTTAATGCTAAGCCGGATATTTATTTGACAGTGTAAAGTCCTTAAAAAGCCCTCATTTGAAGCTTTGTATTGATTTGTCATTATATTCGAAGTCATTGCCTTTGTATTAGACTTAACAACATGTTAACATTCTGTGAAAAGAAGACCTGTTTCTACAAGTTCTTCATGGAGCTCAGAGGAGCAGGCAGAAACATCTTGCCCACAGTCAGTCACACACACACACACACACACACACACACACACACACACACTCTTTCTCTCTCGATCTCCTGAGAAAATTTTAAATCCTTAAAACTTCTGAAGGCTTTATAGGAAATGTCAACCAGCATTGCCCTTTGGACACTTTTTTTGGTTTGGTCTGGAATTTCACCATGAGCTTTGAAAAATCATAATAATTGTCAGATATACACACACATACATACATATACACACATATTTATTTATGTAACTGAATTATATAAATATGATATAGTGTGCACTCTGAAAAAACAAACAGTATTTAGAAAATCAGAAAACCAGAAGAGAAGATATCCTGAACAGTGCCTTTTACTTTTATAGCAAAGGGTTCTAAATTACAAGTGTGATAAAAAAACTATTCATTAATATTCAAGAAACGCATATTAAGAACTTACCATTTTCAATAGGATAAGAAAACATATGTCTCATTGGCACATTGATTTTAAAAGTACCTGTGCACTGATGCCAGATGCAAGGCCCCTTGCCAGGTAAGGCAAAGTTTGTAAGGATGTGTAGGACGTGATCCCTAATTCTCAGATGGTGTCTCCTTGTGTAATTTCCCTCAGATTCTGCTCACCCTCTCAGTTTTGAAGCCATTTTGCTACCAAAGACCCCAACAGGTGGAAGGGGGGAGAATAAGGAAGATGGGTGCCACAGTAATGCTGAGCCCTGCAGTATGGCCAGTTAGCACTCTTTTCCCAGTTGTGCGACAGCCCTCACCCTTATCTGCCCATGGCTCAGGTTTCAAGGAAATCAGTGAATTCAGTACCTGGTGCAGCCGAGAAAAGGAATGTCTCACAGTAATACCATAGCACATGTTCTAGTGTTAACTTTGTAAATATTAAAGTCTACAATAAGGATGTCTATAGTGCCCAGTTTTATCTCAGAATTGCAAAGTATATGAATCATATTGTCAAATATCCCCTTTGGACTATGAAGCAAACATCACTGGCCATAGCTTCTTGAAGAACGAAGTGAGCTAAAAAGTGTCTAAACAACTTGCTCAACATCCACAGGCAAACCAGTGAAAGGATTAGAAACAGAAGTCCTATCTCCCATCACCTATTCATTCCAGTATTTATTTTTCCAATTTTTGAAATTGTGTCCTTCATAACCCTGCCATCAGGAGACATTCAGACAGTTACCACATTTGAATTATAACAAGTAAACCACTCTTGAAATAACAGGAAGAGCTCATACTAATTTATTTAAAGCAGTATTCCTTAAAAACGTGGTGTTGTTTATTATAGAAGATGACGTCATTTTCAATGGTGCTCCCTGAGGGTGTTCAGTGCACAGTGAGCGGCCTAATGCAGCAGCCTTGCATGGGAATGTTTTATATACTAATTTTAACTAGAAATGTTCAAGTCCTGGATGTGAGGGGATGATGAGGTGAGGTGGTAACTGACAGAAGAGTGACTACTATTAATAATTAGTATTTCATAAAATATTTATTCATTTCAAGGCATTTTGAAATCTCTAGCTATTCAAATGGTCCTCAAAGGTGAATTTGAGTTCCTTTACTGAGTAGAAAAGAATATTGATGATCAAGATTTGACTACTACTGGCAAAATGTAAACTGTAGGAAATAATGTACCTTATTTTGAGAAGTGGATTATTGGTTTACTAAATAGAAATAGTAATACTTCAACTTTATTCCATACCAAAAACAAACAGGAAGACTTACTGGCTGCTTCCAATCACAACAATGAAAGGAATGAGGATTGAAATAAATGTTTGCTTAGCTTTTTTTAATTTTTAATTTTTATAGGTAGATAGTATATGTATATATTTAGCTTTATGATTATAAAGTAATTTCAAGCTAAATATTTTTATGTCTTCTCTATTCCCCCAAGTGCCTGGCATGACACTTTGCTATATTAATTGAAACAATTAAGTTTTCTATGTTAGTTGGGCAAAATTAAGGTAAAAATTGAAATGTATTAACAATGAAGAAGTTTCTGCCATTCTGATAGTTTTATTGAAAAGCCAGGATCAATGAGAAAAGCACTGAGCTAGATCTTGGTTTCACCCCTGCCTCTACCCATGTGTTATTTAGCTTCCTGAGTCTCAGTTTCTGCCATTGTAAATAGAAGGGTTTTTACTATTTGGGGTCTCTCAAGTTGTTATCAGAGAGTAGGGTTAAAAAGAGAAGACGATAATTTGTTTATCTTCAGAGGGAAGGATTATTTCAAACTACAGCCTCTTGAGATTCTAAAATTACTCTTCTCTAAAATGATATTTCCCACCCTTGCCCACTTGACAATCCTTTTATCTATGGAATTATGTTACATCCTTCAGGTGCTGGCATTTAAAAAAGTAGACATCCCCTGAAGATGACATTTCATGTCCTTTAAGTCATACAATTCTATGACCCATACCACTTCTAAGAAAAACAAATGCATCCATGAAGGAAAACACTCTTGATATAATGGTAAATAAATTAGTACCACAAAAAACATGACTGATTGTGGAAATGCAGACACAGAGGTGGGCAGCCATTTGGCAAGGCCCTCCCCCTCTAGCTGAAGCAACTTCCAGGATATTAGCCAGCACATTTTTCTCCCTTTATTTTCCTCTTTTTTCCCTTATTTAAGAAAGATATTTAAGAACTAGGATATTCAAAAGCAATCATATTTAAAAAGGAATTTAGAAAGTTACCATACACATCTAGGGAAAGGTGCAGGCTAAGAGAATAACTGAGAAAAACTTAAGTTTACACATCCCTGGCACAGAGACAGCCAACAACAACCAAAGAAAGAAACAAGGAAAGAAAGCAAAATAATACAGAACACCCTGGGGAAAACAGGGGTCTGATTTCCAGTTACCACATTATAAAATTCAAACATCTAGTTTCCAACAGAAAGCAAAATCATACAAAGAAACAGGAAATATAGTCCATGCACAGATAAATAAATAAATAAACACAAACTGTCCCTGAGAGAAACTAGATAGCACTTACTAGACAAGGAACAGCTGCCTTAAAGATGTGCAAAGAACTAAAGAACAACATGGAGAAAGTCTAGAAAATAATGCGCAAACAAAATGGAAATATCAATAAGGAGCTAGAAAATATAAAAAGAAACTAGAAAGAAAACCTATATCTAAAAAGTACAATTACATTAAATGAAAAATTTATTAGAGGATTCAAAAGCAGATTTAATGAGACGAAAGAAAAAAATCAGTAAACTTGATGATAAAATAGTTGATCAAGTCTGAGAAACAGAAAGAAAAAAGATTAAAGAAAAGTAAACAGAGCCAATGAACTTGTGGGACACCATCAAGCGGACCAACTTATGCACTAGGGGAGTCATAGAAAAAGAAGAGAAAGAAAAAGGGGCAAAGAGATAATTTGAAGAAACAGCAGCTGATAACTTTTCAAATTGGATTAAGGACATGAATATAAACATCCAGGAAGCTCAAAGAACTCTATGTAGGATAAATTCAAATAAATCTACACCAGGACACATTATGATCAAACTCTCAATAGACAAAGAGGAAATCTTGAAAAATAGCAGTAAGGGAGAAGTGACCTATCACATGCCAGGGATCCTCAAGAAAATTATCAGCAGATTTCTCATCAGAAATCTTGGAATTCAGAATGTAGTGAGCTGAAAGAAGAAAAAAAAAACTGTCAACCAAGAATCCTATATCTAGCAAATGATTCTTCAAAAATGAGGGAGAAATTAATTTTCCCAGATAAATAAAAGCAGAGGAGTTCATTATCATTGGACCTGCCCTGCAAGAAATGTAGGAGGAATTCCTTCAGGTTGACATGAAAAGATGCTAGACAGTAACTCAAAACCATAAGAAGTAAAGATCAGAGTAAAGGTAAGTACATGGGTAATTATAAAAGCTAGCATTATTGTAACTTTATAACTCCACTTTTGTTTTCTACATGATTTAAGAGATTAATGTATGGAAAATCATTAGTCTATGTTTTGGTACACAAAATGTAACAAATCCAATTTTGTGACACAATAGCTATTGACTATATACAAAAGGAAATTAGAAAGGATTTAAAATGTTTCACTATAAAAACAATAATTAAATTTAAAAGAAGATGATAATACACGAAATGAGGGACAAAAATCTAAAAGGCACATAGAAAACATATGCAAAATAACAGAAGTAAGCCTCTCTTTATCAGTAATTATGTTAGATATAAATGGAATTTATATCTAATTTATACACTTCAATCAAAAAACAGAGTTTGAAAGAACAAATAGGAAAACATGATCGACCATACACTGTCTACAAGAGACAAACTTTAGATCTAAAGACATAAATATGTTGAAAGTGGCAAATATAAATGAAAATATCACATATCAAAACTTATGAGATAGAGTAAAGGCAGTGCTAAGAGGGAAATTTGTAGCTATAAATGCTTATACTAAAAAAAAAAAAAAAAAAGACCTCAAATCAACAACTGAATTTTACAACCTAAGAAATTAGAAAAAGAAGAACAAACTAAACCCCAAGCTAGGAGAAGGAAAAAAATAATCAAAATTGTAGCAGAGATAATGAAATAAAAAAATACAACAGAGAATATCAATGAAACCAAAAGTTGGTTATTTGGAAATATTAACACAATTGGTGAACCTTTAGCTAGATTGGGGAAGAAAAGAGAAGACTCAAACTACTAAAATCAAAAATGAAACTGGGAACACATTGCCAATGCTACAGAAATAAAAAGAATCGTTAAGCGTTTCCTTTGAACAATTATGCACCAACCAACTGTATAATCTAGATGAAATGAACAAATTTCTAGAAACACGACACTTACCAAAACACAAAATTCCACCAAACATTTAAAGAAAAATTAACACCAATCCTTCTCAAATTTTTACAAAAATTTTAAGAGGAGAAAACACCATCTAACTCGTTCGATGATACCAGCATTTCCCTAATACCAAAGTCAAATAAAGACACTACAAGGAAATAAAACTACAAACCAATATATCTAATGAACTTTGATGCAAAAATCCTCAATAAAATTCTAGCAAACCAAATTCAGCACCATAATAAAAGGATTATATACCATGACCAAGTGGGATTTATTCCTGGAATGCAAGCATGATTCAACATATGGAAATTAATCAATGTAATATACTACAGTAACAGCATGAAAGAAAAATAAATACATGATCATCTCAATTGACACAGACAAACTATTTAGTAAAATTCAACACCCTTTTGTGACAAAAACACTCATCAAACTAGGAATAGAAGTTAACTGCCCCAACATAATAAAAGCCACATACAAAAAACCCACATCCAAATCATATGCAATGGTGAAAGACTGAAAGCTCTTCCTCTAAGATGAGGAACAGGGCAAGGATGCCTGCTTTTGCCACTTCTGTTTAACATAGCACTGAAAGTCCTGGCGAGAGCAATAAAGTAAGAAGAAGAAATAAAAGTCATTCAAATTGGAAAAGAAAAAGTAAAATCATTCTGTTGCAGATGATATAATCTTATATGTATACGTAGAAAACCCTAAAGATCTCAAACACACACGCACAAGCAAACACCCACAAAAAAACTGTTAGAACTAAAGAATATGAATGCAGTGAAGTATTGGATACAAAATCAACATGCACAAATCAGTGGGATCTTTATAAACTACCAATAAACAACCCAAAAAGAAAATTAAGAAAAAAAAATTCATTTTCAATAGCAACAAAAATAACAAAATAATACTTAAGAATTAATTTTACCAAGACTTTTACAAGGAAAACTACAAAACATTGCTGAAATAAATTAAAGACTTAGGTAAATGAAAAGATATTCTCTATTCATGGATTGAAAGATTTAATATTATTAAGATGTTAACACTACTCAAAGCAATCTGCAAATTCAATGTAATCCATATCAAATTCGTAAGAACATTTTTTGCAGAAATAGAAAACTCCATTCTAAAATGTATATGAAATCTCAAGGGACCCCAAATAGGCAAAACAATCTTTAAAAAATAGTTGGAAGATTCACAGTTCCTGTTTTCAAAATTTACTACAAAATTACAGTAATCAAAACAGTGTGGTATTGGCATAAAGAGAGACATGTAGACCGATGGAATAGAATAGAAAGCTCAAAATTAATCCTTGTATACATAGTCAAATGATTTTTGACAACAATGACAAGAGCGTTCAATGTAGAAAAGACAGTCTTTTCAACAAATGGTGCTGGGAAAACTAGATGTCTACATACAATAAAGTTGGACCCTTTGCTAACAACGTATCTAAAAATTAACTCAAAATGGATCAAAGAGACAAACATAAGAGCTAAACTTATAAAACTCTTAGAAGAAAACCCACACAATAGGAGAAAATATTTACAAATCACATATCTGATAAGAAGTTAATATCCAGAATATACAAGTCAAGTCAAAAGTCCTAAAACAAAAACAAACAACTTGATTCAAAAATGGGCAAAGAACTTGAATAGACATTTCTACAAAAAAGATGTACAAATGGCCAACAAGCACATGAAAAGATGCTCAACATCACTAATCATTATGGAAATACAAATCAAAATCACAATGAAATACCACTTTACACCCATGAAGATGGTTACTATAAGAAAAACAGAAAATAGCAAGAGTTGACAAGGATCTGAAGAAAATGGAAACTTTGTGTACTATTGATAAGAATATAAAATGGCACATCCACTATGAAAAACAGTATGGTAGTTCTTCAAAAAATTACAAATAGAATTAGCATGTTATCCAGCAATTCCACTTCTAGGTAAACACCCAAAAGAATTGAAAACAGGGTCTTGAAAAGATATTTTCACACCCATGTTCATATTAGCATTACACAACAGTGAAAAGGTAGAAGCAACCCAAATGTCCACTGAAAGATGCACAAATAAACAAAATATTGTATAAACATGCAATGAAACATTATTCAACCTTAAAAAGGAAGGAAATTCTGACATATGCTACAACACAAGTGAACTTTGAGACATTATGTTCTACAGATATAAATTTCTATTGTAGGCTGTGATGATAGTGGTGATGATGTCACTACTCTCATTACTGTTATGAATACTATCATTAATCTAAGTTGGCATATGAGACTGAAGAGTGGTGAAATGGAAAAGGATAAGGAGCAAGACAGATATATATGTGAACCCTGGCTGCTGCACTTATAAACTATGTGGCTAGAAAATTCTACTTTTATTATTTGAGCTTCAATGTTCTCACATATGAAACAGGAAATATAATACATTCCTTACAGAATCATAATAAAGATTAGAAATAATTTGGGTGAAGTGCCTAGCAAAGTGCCCAAAATTGGCACACAGTAGATGCTCAAAAAAAATCGCTATTATCATTTTAGTAGTAATAGTATAATTATATTGTTGCAAATAAGGAATATTGTTGCAAATACAGTAACACGGTATTTGGTACCTAGTAAGTACCCTAGAAATATCAATTCATTATCATCGTCACCACCACTGCCACCGTCACTGTAACACCAAGATACCTTCTTGTTTCCTTCCATTTGTTTTTTCACTGTTTTCACTTCCAATTGAGGTGCAACTGCAATCAGTGATCCTAGACAAGATCTTTTAAAGACAAGTTTATCTGTTATCTTTTTTCCAGATAAACTTATTTTCCATTTTAGCAAAATGTACTTGATCTAGAATAACTAATTTGACCTAAACATGAGGTAATACATCAATAAGTTCAAAATATTAATTCTCAATGCATTATGGCTTAACTCCTTCAAATATTTAGGAATTCACAAAAAAGAAAATTTAAATTCTTTTTTCTTCAACCAGAAAATATGGGTTTTCTGTAGTTCATCTTAAGTAATCAATATTTGTCAACACTTCTGTTCCCTCCAGAGGGTAGTAATTAAAATTGAGTAATAAATTACCATTAATGTACATAAATGTAAATGTCATATGTATCTTGTAAAATAAACATCTGGTGAAAATTGAGTGAATCTATACATTATAAAATGGAAAGCATTTTTCAGTGTTTCTTCAAAGCCTAAATAACTTTTATTTCCTTCCTAAAATTGGGGGCTTTCTGAGTAACATCATTCTTAGTTTATAATCTTTATATTTTTCCATGGCTCTGCATTTTCCCATCCTTACTTCGCTCCATATGTCTGAAACACTGTCATTTAAAACAGCAAGCTTACGTTAATTACCAGAGACAAGTGTTAATGGATTTTAATTTTGCTTTATTAGAATTTATGCAAATTTCACTGTGTTGAGATTCCAAATAAAATCCTTACAATCACAATTTCTCTCTCTCTCTTTTCTGTTTACTTTGTAGAAGGGAATGGGAAAAGTTTGCATTAGTATTCAGTGACAGGAACTGTTG
Organism: Homo sapiens; assembly: GCF_000001405.40. Lineage (NCBI taxonomy): Eukaryota > Metazoa > Chordata > Mammalia > Primates > Hominidae > Homo > Homo sapiens. The sequence goes on from NC_000006.12 coordinate 10,056,177, forward strand.
ACAGCAATATTCTTTAAGGAGAAATAGGTTTTATAAAATTATCTTTAAAACTGTGTGAGTTTGATAATTTGTTAATTAGCACTGATGTCTTTTCTCTATAGGTTCAAATATTCAATTACACTTTCTGATCCGGCTGCTTATTTTAACTGTCTTAATGGCTGCTTTTGTCTTGACCAAAATACGTGCATTGTTACACACTTAATAACATTCTTTTCCTTACGCCTAGTACAGCCCATGATATAAGTTTATTGGAAAGTTCTTCTGGTAACTCAATAAATACTCTGCTAAATGGAAAAGAATATGAGAATTTTAGATGTATTTTTAGCTCTAAATTATTATTTCTGTATTATCCAGGAGACATAAACACAACGTTGAGCTTTCTAATATTCAAAATTATTCAAACGTACTTTCTATTTTCATAGCTTTTCTTGAGGTATTAAGTGTGGCTTTATTCTATTCTAAAATTAAGATAAAGTTTTATACTTTTCTGTAGTTCTATATTTTTCTGTTCTATATACTGTTTTTAGTTCTATATCCTTTTCTGTAGTCCTATATTTTCAGTATTTTAACGTGCTGAACCTGTTATTTTCACAGTTGGAAAATAATAAAATTATATAAAAATAGATTCTTCTTTGTTGGGAATATCCATTTCAGGTTTGTGTACCTGATTCTATATCTTTTGTAATCTTATTTTTTAAATTGATGAATAACGATAGTACATATTCATGGGAACAATGTTTCAATACATACAACATATAGTGATCATATCAGGGTAATTAGCATATTCATCAGCTCAAGCATTTATCATTTCTTTGGGTTGGGAGCTTTTTCCAGAGCACTTTCACAGAATTTCTAATTTATAAATTCTCATAACACGAAAATGAAGCACTATCATCTCAATTTTCCACATTAGGAAACTGAAGCACCAGTTGAGTGTCATCCAAGCTAGTACAACTTATAACTGGCAAAGGCTGTATTGGAACAGTTTTACCTGACTCTAAGTAGAATGTTCTCTTTTCTACCCTAGATATCTCAATAAATGAAGTTCAGTCCTGAGGTTACCAAGACCTGCTTGCCTGAAGTAACTTCTCAGGTATCTCCATTTGGTGATTTTAAAAATATGTCCATCAATTATCTGATACATCTGTCTTCAGGAAGCCTAGTGTTATTCCCCTGTCCTCGAGAGCAAGCAGGCTGGATTTAGTGACTGGCTTCTAGTAAACATAACACCACTGAAATGAAGGTGTGTCATTTCCAAGATTAGGTTTTGAAAAGACTGTGGCTTCTGTCTTGGGGACTCTTTTGGATACTCACTCAGGGGAAACCAACTGCTTTGTTTTGAGGACACTCAGGCAGCCTTGTGGAGAGGTAGTTTTGGCATGGAACTGAAGCCTCCAGCCAAGAGCCAAGGGCACAAGCCTTCTCTCAAGGTCCAGTCAAACCTTCAAACGGTGCAGCCTCAGACAATGAACTGACTACAACCTCAAGAGAGGCCAGGAGCCAGAAGCACCCAACTAAGCCACTCCCAAACTCCCGATCCTCTAAAACTGTAAGATAATAGAGGCTTGTTGTTTTAGGCCACCATGTTTGGGGTAATTTGTCATCCAGTCATTGATAACTAACACAATGTGCTTGTCCAAACCTGTCATTCTTAGAGACAGGTCAATAAATCGGCGAGGAGAAGAGGCTGGGGCCCAGGGGTCCATTAGATATTCTGGCCTCAGATATACAAAAAGAGGCAACAAGTTTTAATATTCAGAAAGCAAATGGAGCACTGGATCACAGGACTTCTTGGGGCTCCACATAGCTAGCAACACTCATGGTTAACAGCTGGGCCTTGGGATCAGAACCTCCTGCATTAAAAATTCAACTCTAATGTTGAGTGTGTAACAAGTACAGATTATTTTGCCTCCCTGTGTCGGTTTCCTTGTGCACAAAATGGAAGTATTTTAGAACTTCACAAATTTCTTGTAAAGATTAAATGTGAGACTGCATGAAAAGTAGTTCTTAATACACAGTAAAGCCTCAGTAAATAAGAGTTATTTCAATTAGTACTAGTAGCAGTAGAGTTGTAGGAAAGCAGAGAAGGAGTAGAATCAGCTTTGTGAGAGCAATGCTTTGAGCCCTCTCAGGCCCTGGGTCCCACCATATATTGAACTCACCAGACCTAGGAGTCCACTGGGTCATATGGGACCCAAAGACTCTATGGCCCTGGGCCATATGGCACCTGGGGATTTCCAGATGCTGATAATCTGGTAGCCAGTGAAGTCACCCAGCAGGGCATCTGAAGTTGCTTGTCTCACAAAGCATGTGTTTAGAGTTCAGTAGTTGTTCAAATGGTATGGAAACTAGGATGATGTGGGGTTGGAGCAGGGATAGAAGGGATTCACAAGGTGATAAGAAAATAGGGTGAAAAGAAAAACTCAGGCCAATGACCAAGTGCAAGATGTAGTTGAAGCACAACTGCACGGCTGCTGCCATTCAGAACGTTAGCCTGTTTCTTAGGACAAAGAGAAAAGCCCCTATTACACAGAGGAGCCTGTAATTCAACTTTCAAGGATGAGTGTTCCAAGAAAGGGACGTAATGTGTTATTTAACCTTGCCCACAGTATCTGTCCAGACTTTTACCACTCATGCCCTATTAAGTACTCTCTTCCTCTTAAAGAGGAGATGCAAAGCCCTCTCTAAAATGACAGTGCGTGATCTACAAAGCAGGATTTGGAAATGGCAACAGTGCCCACCATTATAATTAATGCCAGACGTCTTCAAAGACCTTCTTTCACCTACAAATGAAACTAATTATTAGTCTTTTTCTCTGGGAGTCCTTCACTGTGTGATGCAGGAGCAGCAACAGCTGGGTCATCCCTTGCAGTTTATTCTCAAAGGCCTTTGAATAAATCTGTTTTGAATTCTATAGCCCACCCTCCCCCACTACCTAAAAGAAATATTCAGGAAATAGAACCTAGTAAAATGATTTATAGCAGCCTACAGTCTGGTGGGGAACATGCCGGGATTGAGGCAATGAATTCCAGCCCCTCCTTGTCTGTGCCCAGGTGTAAACAAACAGTGTTAAAAGAACCAGGTACAAACCCCGGTGCTTCATCAAAACTTTAAGGCAAAGATCTAGAAAAAGAAAGAACAGAGCTAACCTTTTAAGAACATATTTATAGAGCATCTAAGGAAATAAAAGGATTCAAAAGAATTTTAGGACTGGAATGGATCTTTGAGATTCTCTTAGTTCAACATCATTGTTCAATGTTTCTCCCATGCCACGTGCCATCTGCCAACCTCAAGTCAAAGCAGTAAAAACTGAGGCTCCAAGACCTTAAGTGGTTGTCTCTGTGCCAGGCAGACCAGAGGCCAGTTCCTTTGATGGCTAATCTTATTCTTTTCCTACTCCATTAAATTTTTTAAATTGTGTTTGTTTGTGCCCTTTGGATGGGCAGTGTCCAAAATTAGAATAGTTCTTTCTTAGACATGGTTCTGCAGGTACTGCTCTTCACCTGGCTTTTCACCTCTGAGCATGAAGATAAGGACTGTCAATGCCATTCAGGCCATCACCATGCCTAAAGGGTTCTTTGAATGTGCAAATTTATAAATACAAAAAAAATGCATTGAGAAAAACTAAATCTACATCTGGAATATATGCCGGTTACTAGAAAGTTAATCCACAATTACAAAGACTCTTCACGGACAGGCAATGTGTTTGAGATTCTTCCATCCTGCAAAAGGTGTAGATTAAGCCCTGAGAAAAGAATGTCAGGAGGAAAATATCTCTTAATTTGTTCTGATTCCTCCTCCCCCCCTCATCAATTTCCTGTTTG